>NW_003315955.1:0-90219 GCF_000001405.40 Homo sapiens
CTATACAGTACCAAGGGAGGATGGTGCATTAGTCCATCCTCATTCTGCTAATAAGGACATACCCAAGACTGGGTAACTTATAAACAGAAAAGGCTTAATTGAGTCCCAGTTCAGCATGGCTTGGGAGGCCTCAGGAAACTTACAACCATGGCAGAAGGGGAAGCAAACACATGTCCTTCTCCACATGGCAGCAGGAAGGAGAAGTACAGAATGAAAGTGGGGAAAGCCCCTTATAAAACCATCAGATCTCATGAGAACTAACTCAATATCATGAGAACAGCATGGGGGAACTGCCTCCATGATCCAATTGCCTCCCACTGGGTCCCTCTCACCACGGGTGGGGATTATGAGATTTGGGTGGGGACACAGCCAAACCATATTAGATGGTGCTAAGCCATTCATGAGAATGCCACCTGCATAATCCAGTCACCTCCCACCAGGCCCCACCTTCAACACTGGGGATTACAATTCAAAATGAGATTTGGGTGGGGACATGGATCCAAACCATATCAGCCAGTTTACACCCAAGAGTGAAGCCAAGCAACAGCCCCCTAAGGCGGAGGCCCCTGGAGGTAGTCCTGGCTCTGCCAAGAGTCACTCCTCCTCTGGCACTATCCTGTGTCTCTTGTAACCTGGCTGAAGCTCTCAGAGCTTGGGGCAGTGACAGCCTTTGCCCCCTTCAGCTCTGCCCTTGGAGTCAGAGCCACGGGGGGAGACCCTCCAGCCCTCATGTCCACTGGAGTCCTACCCGGGTCCCTTTTTTTGTGTGTGGGTTGTTGGTTCGTTTGTTTTTTCTTGATATGGAGTTTCACTCTTGTCTCCCAGGCTGGAGTGAAATGGCGCGATCTTGGCTCACTGCAACCTCTGCTTCCTGGGTTCAAGTGATTCTCCTGCCTCAGCCTCTTGAGTATCTGGGATTACAGTCACCTGCCACCACTCCCGGCTAATTTTGTATATTTTTAGTAGAGACGGGGTTTCACCATGTTGGCCAGGCTGGTCTCAAACTCCTGACCTCAGGTGATCCACCCATCTCGGCCTCCCAAAGTGCTGGGATTACAGGCTTGAGCCACTGCGCCCAGCCTTACCTGGGTACTTTTATGTGTCAGCTTGACTGGGCCACGGGGTTCCCAGATGTGTGGTCAGACATTATTCTGGGTGTCTGTGGGTGAGTTTAACATTTAAATCAGTGGACTGAGAGGAGTAGACTGTGCTCCCTAGTGTGGGGGGGCCTCATCCAGTCAGTTGAAGGCCTGCATAGAACAAAAAGCCTCACCCTCCCCCGAGGAAGAGAATTCTCCGGACTGCCTGCCTTCAGACTGGGACACTGGCTTTTTCCTGCCTTGGAACTTGAATGCTGGCTCTTCTTGGGCCTCAAGCCTCAGACTGGAACCCTGTGGTCCGCTCTCCTGGGCCTCCAGCTTGCCGACTGCAGCAGATCTTGGGACTTAACCTCTGCAATCACATGAGCCGAATCCTTGTCATCTCTGTGTGTGTGATTCTCTGTCTCTCTACACACATGTACATACACCCTGTTGTTCTGTTTCTATAGGAGATGTGCTCCAAAATCCTGGAACTGCAAAACCTTTGACTTCTACAAAAAATGGGTTAATCTGGAATCATCTCTCCTTGGTTCGTATGTGTGTGTGTATGTGTGTGTTTGGAGTTTTTCTTCCCATCAATAGGCTTATCCCAACCGGTTGCAGTGGCTCACTCCTGTAATCCCAGCACTGTAGGAGGCTGAGGCAGGCAGATCGCTTGAGCCCAGGGGTTCGAGACCAGCCTGACTAACATGGTGAAACCCCATCTCTACTAAAAACACAAAGATTAGCTGGGTGTGGTGGTGGGCGCCTATAATACCAGCTACTTGGGAGGCTGAGGCACAAGAATCAATTGAACCTGGGAGGCAGAGGTTGCAGTGAGCCGAGATCGTGCCACTGCACACCAGCCTGGGTGACAGAGTGAGGCTCTGTCTCCAAAAAAAAAAAAAAAAAAAAAAAGGAAAATAAAATTAAAACATTTTTGTGGACACCTAAAGGATCATGGGCCCAGTGGAGAAGGTGGCCCTCCTCCCTTCCTCAGAGCCCCCGAGCCCTGCCCTGTGGGGTGGGAAAGAAGGGGACCTGCCCAGTGTCACGGTCAGTGGCCAAGCTGGACGACAGGTAATCCCTGAGTCCTGCCCCAGCCAGCCCTGCCCTCTGCTCTCCCAGAACCTAGAATCTGGGGGAAGATTGAACAAGCTCTTCCTTGAAGGGAGGGCGCCGCCTCCTCTCACCCCCTGCCACGGGCATCGGTGTGAGGCTGTGCTGGGGGCTGTGCTCACCCTCTGCGTCCCCGATGGGGCAGTGTCTGGTACCTGTGGAGTTCCTGGAAGAATCTGTGCCCTGATTGCCATTGTGAGCTGTGCCGGGGAGGCTCTGTAGGAGAGGAGGAGCAGTTAGCCGACTATTGGGGCGTGGGACAGGCTGGTCACGGGGCTCCGCTTCCTGGAGGGCTGCTGCTTTCGTAGGCCTGGCATCCGCCCCTCCAGCCGCATGCTGTCTGATTGTTCCCTGCAGGAGGTGCCAGCCCCTAGCTCTGGCAGCATCAGAGGAGCACATGAACCGAATGCTTCCAGAAGGCTCTGCGGCTGGTGGGGAGAAGGCTCTGGAGACCTTCAGTGAGTTGTGGCCTGTTCCCCGCTTCTCTCCGCACCGTTGGATGAGCCTCCTGTGGCATGGCTGGAAGGGCTGGGCGCTGAGGGTGTAGGCATCAGGACAGCTTTGCCTGGGCTGCCCACATTCTCTGCCCTGGGGGGACAGGGGCAGCTGGCGAAGCCCTCGTGTGGTGTCTCAGTGAAGTGCCCAGTGATGGGCTAGGGCCACCCCTGTCCTGAGCCTCCCCATGGCCCTCCAGTTCTTCCCTCCCTCCCACCTGCTCCTGTCTCCTTCGTTTTCTGTTTCTGTCTGGGTTGACTCATGACATACCTGAGAGCCTCCTGGCTTCAGCCTCTCTGCCATCCCCAGAGCAAGGAGGGCTCGGGGGGCACACAGTGTGGGAAGAGGCTGGACGGGAAGGCCAGAGGGTCACAATGGGTGGCGGGCGCCCTCCCTGCTGCCCCGTCTCGCCCGGCTCCCAGAGTCACTCATTCGGGCTCACTCTGGGCCCTCAGCTGCTCCCTCTGATCCCAGCCTCAAAGGTGCAGCTGGTCTGGTTAGACACGTGTTCTCAGAAGGAGCAGAGAGTGATGCATTAATTTATCCTTTGTTGACTCTGAAAGTCAAAAGCTCCCGGGGAATCTGGACTAATCTCTCTCCTAGAAGTGGCTGATTATTTGTAAAAGGATCTGAGCTTGCTGAGTGTCACATGGCAGTGGGACCTCCATGCAGGTCCCTGAGTGGCCATGCCGCTCTCCTCCCCTTCCCGCCCAGGCCAGGCCTCCAGTGCTGTGCTTCCGCTGTTTCGTCTGCCTGGGACGCTCCCGCCCCTGGAGAAGGAGAACTCAGGAAGCTCTTCCCTGAAGACATTTGTGGGGGCTTGGCCAGCCTCCCTTCCTGTCCCCCTTGTCCCCTGCACAGACTTTTGTGCAACGCTGCGATGATTTATTTTATTTTTTATCTCTTGTAGTGATGGGGTCTAACCATGTTGCCCAGGCTGGTCTCAAATTCCTAGGCTCAAGCGATCCTCCCGCTTCGGCCTCCCAAAAGGCACAGACACAAGCCACCGTGCCCGGCCCTGTGATGTTCATGGAACTGACTTGTCCCACGTCTGTCTCCTTCTCCTTCCTACCTCTGTGTGACCGGGCCCTCGAGCTGTGCTGGACACACAGAAGGTGCTGGTGCATGGAAGGTGGAGGTCAGAAGGGCCTCCCTTCCCCCGCGAGAAGGGCAGGTCCTACCACAGCATGGGTGGGCGCCTGGGATGTGGAAGGAAGCTGAACTGCTTCTAGTCCAGGCTTCTCAGGCTGCATTCACAGGCCAGAGCTTTTTTTTTTTTTTTTTTTTTTGAGACAGAGTCTCTACCTGTCTCGCCCAGGCTGGAGTGCAATGGCGCAGTCTTGGCTCACTGCAGCCTCCGCTTCCTGGGTTCAAGCGATTCTCCTATCTCAGCTTCCCGAGTAGCTGAGACTGCAGGCATGTGCCACCACGCTCGGCTAATTTTGTATTTTTAGTAGAGACGGGGTTTCACCATGTTGGCCAGGCTGGTCTCTAACTCCGGACCTCAGGTGATCCACTGGCCTTGGCCTCTAAAGTGCCGAGATTACAGGTGTGAGGCACCGCACCCAGCCCTCCCGCAGTTCTGATTGGATAACCCAGCCCAGGAGTGCCCCGGAGCCCTCCCTCTGGCCGTATGCTGAGCTCAGTGCCTCACCCCCACCATTTTAGTCCCCACCCATCCCTGCAGGGTCAGTCCTACTGTCCCCACTGCACAGATGGGGAAACTGAGGCTCAGAGGGGTTGGGGAAATTTGCCCACAGTTTCAGCCAACAAAATGGAGAACAGGATCCAGTCCGGCCCCAGGCCCTGCTCTGCTGACCTCTGTTTTATCTTCCCACCCGGGACCCAGAGGATGGGGTGCTCCTCAGGACCCGCCACAGAGCCCGACCGGAGGACTGGGAATGTGCCCACAGCTGGGACAAGGAACCAGCCAGCAGCATTCCTGGCAGGCCCATCCCAGCCAGGTGAGGCCCCAGCTCCTCTTGGCTTCTCCCACTGTGGGTACGGGGACGTGACAGCAAATAGACTGTCCAATTTCCCTGCCCTCGCGGAGTAAGATGGAGAGGAACGTTCTGGAGCAGACAGTGATGGCTGCTTCTGGGAGACACAGCAGGGAAGCGGTGAGCCATGCAGAGAGTCGGGGGATTGGCGTCGGCCTCTCCCCTACATGCTCCTGCCCGCCCCAAAGCCCTCAGTGTCTCAGTGCTAGTCTGGACTTTCCCTCCCTTCCTGGGACTCAGGGAGGGATTCTTTTGCCTGCTGGCCACAGCGGGAAGCAGCAGATGCTGCCCGGGCCGGCCTGTGGGGACGGCACCCTGCCTCTGGAAGGCTCGGTGATGCTGCGGCCAGCCGGTGTCCACCAGGCCTGTGCCAGGTGAGATGGGCCTTCACGGTGGCCTGGCTCCGTGGGCCAGGCCCCCGGATGCATCCCTCCCCCAGCAGGCAGTGGATTGGAGAGGAGCCCTAGGAGCACGAGGGACCCCAACTGGGGGGACTTCAGAGGTGCCTGCCTGGGAGGGGGCAGGTGCAAGAAAGATACTTCCAGGACCCCGAGGGAGGAGACAGCCCCGGACTTCGAGGCTCATGGCCAGAAGGCTGGGAGCTCCCTGAAGGCAAGCACAGGGAACCCAGAAGACAGCAGCAGGCAGGGGCCATGGATGGGGGCCTTGGGGCCAACCACCCGGTGAAGGCTTGATGGAAGGAGGGAGGGAGCCACCGACGGTCCTTGAGGGTCCTTGGATGCCTGCTTATGGAGGAGTAGCCTGACACTGAGAAGTGAGGGGGCATCCACGTCCCAGGTCTGGGTGAGCCAGGTGATCTGGTTTGGCTCTGTGTCCCCACCCAAATCTCATCTTGAATTGTAATCCCCACATGTGGAGGGAGGGAGGTGATTGGATCATGGAGGCAGCTTCCCCAGTGCTGTTCTCGTGATAGTGAGTGGGTTCTCACGAGGTCTGATGGTTTTATAAGGGGCTCTTCTCCCTTCCTATTCCTTCTCTTTCTCTCCTGCTGCCTTGCGAAGAAGGCGTCTGCTTCCCCTTCTGCCGTGAGTGTAAGTTTCCTGAGGTCTCCCCAGCCATGTGGAACTGTGAGTCAATTAAACCTCCCTGGCTGATAAATTACCTAGTCTCGGGTAGTATCTTTATGGCAGTGTGGAAATGGACTAATACAGCAGGTGATCTGGGAATGGAGGGGAAATACTTCTGGGAATGTCACTGATCTAAAACCTGTCTGTAGTGGGGTTGGATGACGAGCCACGCTGGTGAACCGATTTCCTGATCCTCAGGGATTCCTGCAGGGGTGGCCCAGGTTCCTGCTCTAGGACATGGGGATGTATGGGCCCGCTTGTCTGGTTCCAGCCTTTGGGGCCTGCTGAGATTTGCTGGGGCCGCAGGAAGAGGAGCAGTTGGCTTCTTGCTTGAGAACTTTTCAAGAACATTTTCAGGGTGTAGATGAGTGAAGGACCCACATGCTGCTGTGCTCCTAGTTTATGAACTACTGATCTTTGCTGACTCTATGGAGAGAGCAATGGATGGAAGGGATGGAAGGCCCTTTGCTTTTGAAAGCAAAATAGAGAACATCTGAGCTATGCAAGAAGAGCAAGGACAGGGACCTATTGTAATTCTGTGCACGGCCCCCTCTTGACATTCTCCACTCCTGTGGAATTTGGTTTTACGACCACAGGACTAAGCTAATTAGGACTTAGCTGAGGAGATGGGCCGTGTTTCCCTGTGCTCAGATGGTGACGGTGTTGTGCACCTTCTCTTGCCACAAGATCCAGAGTCAATGAAGACAGGACTCCAGAGTGTTTGCACAGAAGCCGGGTCTTCCAGCCAAAGTGGATTCTGTGTGATTACAAGTTTGCTAGCAATGCCACCCTGGTTTATTTATTTTAATTTATTTTATTTTTTTAAACAGCAAAACCAAAATGAAGCAATTGAATTGGGTTTCACAATAATGAAGGAAAAGCCTTGTGTCTATTTTGTTTGTTTGTTTGTTTGAGACGGAGTTTCGCTCTTGTTGCCCAGGCTGGAGTGCAGTGGCGCCATCTCGGCTCACTGCAACCTCCGCCTCCCAGGTTCAAGCGATTATTCTCCTGCCTCAGCCTCCCGAGTAGCTGGGATTACAGGCACTGGCCACAATGCCCGGCTAATTTTTTTGGTATTTTTAATAGAGATGGGTTTTCACCATGTTGGCCAGGCTGGTCTCGAACTCCTGACCTCAGGTGATCCGCCCACCTCAGCCTCCCAAAGTGCTGGGATTACAGGTGTGAGCCACCACGCCCAGCCCTTGTGTCTGTTTTTTAATTAAAATTTTGATGGAGATAATTGTAGATCCACATGCAATTGCAAGAAATCACACTGAGAAATTCCTTTGACCCTTTACTCATTTTCCGCCAATGGCAACATCTTGCAAAATTATAATTCACTACCACAACCAGGCTATCAATGTTGGGACAATCCACCAGTCTTATTATTTATTTATTTATTGAGACAGAGTATCACTCTGTTGCCCAGGCTGGAGTGCAGTGACGTGATCTCAGCTCACTGCAACCTCCGCTTTCCAGGTTCAAGTGATTCTCCTGCTTCAGCCACCCGAGTAGCTGGGATTACAAGTGTGCAGCACCACGCCCAGCCAATTTTTGTATTTTTAGTAGAGACCGGGGTTTCGCCATGTTGGCCAGGTCTCGAACTCCTGACCTCAAGTGATCCACCTGCCTTGGCCTCCCAAAGTGCTGGGATTACAGGCATGAGCCACTGTGCCCAGTCCCAATTTTTTTTTGATGCCTGCTCCTTCTGAGGCAGGTGTACTGATTTTTATGTGGACGTAAACTTTCGTTTTTCCAGGCAGTACAATAGCCGCCGTGTCATGTGGTAGTTAGTTGCGTGTTTTGTTTGATAAGAAACTGCTGTCCTGGCGCAGTGGCTCACGCTTGTAATCCCAGCACTTTGGGAGGCCAAGGCAGGAGGGTCACATGAGCTCAGGAGTTTGAGACCAGCCTGGGCAACATGGTGAAATCCCATCTTTACTAAAAATACAGAAAATTAGTCAGGCATGGTGGCATGTGCCTGTGGTCCCGGCTACTTAGGAGGCTGAGGTGGGAGGATCACTTGAGCCCAGGAGGTCAAGGTTGCAATAAGCCGACATCACACCACTGCACCCCAGCCTGGGTAACAAAGTGGGATCCCGTCTCAAAAAAAGAAAAGAAACTGCCAGACTGTTTTCCAGAGTAACTGTACTGTTCCCGCCAGCAGTGTGTGCGTGATCTTATTTCTCTGCATCCTCATTAGCATTTGGTGTTGCCACCATTTTTTGTTTCAGCCGTTCTGATAGTTAACGCAGTGATATCTTATTGTAGTCGTAATGTGAATTTCCCTAATGGCTCACGATATTGAACGTCTTTTCACGTGCTTATTTGCCATCCGTATATCCTTTTTGGTAAAATATTTCATATCTCTTGCCCATGTTCTAATTACATTCTTTGATGCTTTTCTGTTGAATTACACTGAGGGAGGTAAGGGAACCAGCCAAGCAGATTCCCTGGAGAAGAACATTCCAGAAAGAGAGAAGAGCTAATTTAAAGGCCATGAGACAGGAGTTCAGGGTGTTCAAGATAAAGCACCAGAGTCAGTGTAGCCGGGCGAGTGAGCTGCGGGAGAGGGAGGCACGTTCACCAAATAATTCATGGCCACCCCCATAACCGGCCCCCCTACAGACAGGCGGCACCGCGCAGTTGGCCCAGGCCCCCATGACGGGAAGGAACGTGGGCCACTCCTGGGCAGAGGCATGAAGAACAGGTGAGCGATGCCTGGCCTGCCTTCTGCTTCTTGATGATGGCTGGAGGCCACGCATTGAGTTTGTTGAAACAAGATTGTGGCAGCCTGGATGGGTGAGTCACCGCGTGGAGCCGCTGCTGCTCTGGGGAGCTGCCTGGCTCGCTCTGGACTTAGCGTGAGCGAGAAGTAAATCTGTAGTGTATCGTGTCTTGGAGACATCAGGGCTTATTTGTCACCACTGCAAAAATGAGTTCATTCTGACAAATACAGGGATGAGGTCAGCAAAATGAGTTCATTCTGACAAATACAGGGATGAGGTCAGCAAAAATGAGTTCATTCTGACAAATAGAGGGATGAGGTCAGCAAAAATGAGTTCATTCTGACAAATACAGGGATGAGGTCAGCGGGACTTGGCGGGTGTGGGGGGCCGGTCAGGTCCTGCAAGGCCTTATGGGTCTTGGTAAGGACACCAGCTTTTTGGCTTGAGTTCTGAGTGAGATGGGAAACAGCTGCCTTTTCTCATTTGACTTTGACTTCCTCCCCTCAACCCCACCTGCTGCAATGAAAGTCGTAATATTTATGAGGTCAAAGGTATTCTCTTTCTCAGTAGCCTCTGGGTTTTGTATCAGCTTGGAAACGACTTTTGCATGTTTAATTCTCCTCCTACCTTTTTTTCTCGTACTTTCATGGCTTTTTAAAATTTTATTTTTATTTTGTTTAGAGGCAGAGTCTCACTCAAGGCTGGAGTGCAGTGGTGCCATCTCGGCTCACTGCAACCTTCCCCTCCGAGTTCAAGTGATTGTCGTGCCTCAGCCTCCCAAGTAGCTGGGATTACAGGCACGTGCCATGATGCCCAGCTAATTTTTGTATCTTTAGTAGAGACAGGGTTTCACTGCGTTGGCCAGGCTGGTCTCGAACTCAAGTGATCCTCCTGCCTCGGCCTCCCAAAGTGCTGGGATTACAGGCGTGAGCCACCGCACCCGGCCTTCATGGCTTTATTTTTTTACACTGAAATCTCTGATGCATCTGGTGGGTTTTGTGTAAGGAGTGAGGTCGAGCTTTTAATGAGTCCTAAATGGTCCTCTAGATTCAGTGTCTGCATGACAAAGCTTATGGCCAGCTCTTTGAAACTCTGGAGAAACCCTTTAGGGAACTGATGCTGGGTCTAGGGTGGGAAGGGCATCGGGGTGGTGAGAGGAGCCCCAGCAGATCACCAGGGAGGGCCAGGGCCGGCTGGGTGGCTGCCTGGGACAATTAGACAATTATGAGGAGTGTGGTGGCCAGGCGTGGTGGCTCATGCCCGTAATCCCAGTACTCTGGGAGGCCAAAGCGGGTGCATCACCTGAGGTTAGGAGTTCGAGGCCAGCCTGGCCAACATGGTGAAAACTCCTCTCTACAAAAAATTAGCTGGGTGTGGTGATGGGCACCTGTAATCTCAGCTACTTGGGAGGCTGAGACAGGAGAATCACTCGAACCTGGGAGGCGGAGGTTGCAGTGAGCGGAGATCACACCATTGCACTCAAGCCTGGGCAACAAGCGCGAAACTGTCTCCAAAAGAAAAAAAAAAGGAGTGTGGAAATAACCCAGGAATAAAAAAAACACAGTGCTCACATCACATTGTGTAGCCCCAGCGTGAAGGGGTTTTTGGCCACCACAGGGAGCAGAATGTCCTTTGGTGGACATGACAAGAGTCTTTTCTGAGGCACCCTGTCTGCGGCACAGCTGCCTGGGTGCCCGAGGAACAGCCCTGTGTCAGCATTTAGTCCGCTGAAACATGCAGCTAAATAACCAGCCGGCTGTCTTCCGAGAACAAGTGATTTATTTTTATTGCTTCATTTTTAAACACTTCAACATGCCTCCCAAGAAGCTGTGTGGTTTGGAAAAGCGTAAGAGAAAGCTGAAGAGAAAATGCAAGCTGGAGAAAAGTGGGGATGCTTTGCTGACACATTCTTCCGGAAACCAGCTCGGCTCTGCCAGGCGTGTGTTTTTGGCCAGTGCCATTTCCGGGCCCCTGGAGTTGATGGACATTTCCTGTGCGGGGTCTGATTCCCACTACAGATTTGAAAGAGGCATGCAGATTTTTATTTTAAAAAAACTAAATAGAACCTGGTAGCCAGACATGGTGGCGCGAGCCTGCAGTCTCAGCTACTTGTGAGACTGAGGTGGAAGAATCGCTTGAGCCCAGGATGTGGAGGTTGTAGCGAGCCAAGATTGCAGCACTGCACTCCAGCCTAGGTGACAGAACAAGAGACCCTCTCTCAAAAAACAAACAGGCTGGGCATGGTGGCTCATGCCCATAATCCCAGCAGTTTGGGAGACTGAGACAGGTGCATCACCTGAGGTCAGGAATTCGAGACCAGCCTGGCCAACATGGCGAAACCCCCTCTACTAAAAATACAAAAATTAGCCAGGCGTGGTGGCAGGCGCCTGTAATCCCAGCTGCTCAGGAGGCTGAGGCAGGAGAATTGATTGAACCTGGGAGGCGGAGGTTGCAGTGAGCCGAGATTGTGCCACTGCACTCCAGCCTGGGTGACAAGACCGAAACTGCGTCTCAAGAAAAAAACAAAAAACAAAACAAAAGCCCAAAACAAAAAACCCAAAATAAAAAAAACAAACTAAAGAATATTGGTTTTTCTGTCTCTCAAAATATGTAGTGAACATCTCTCAATCTAAGGGGCATTGTAGTGTTAGCCAGCTGAGGTAAAAAGGCAAGACCCATTCGTCTCCAAGTGTCCTAGCTGGGGCTCTTAAAGAACCAGCAAGGCCAGGTGCAGTGGCTCATGCCTGTAATCACAGCACTTTGGAAGGCCAAGGTGGGAGGATCATTTGAGCCCAGGAGTTCAAGACCAACCTGGGCAACATAGGGAGACTTTGTCGCTACCAAAAAAATACAAAAAAATTAGCCGGCCATGGTGGCATATGCCTGTAGTCCCAGCTATTTGGGAGGCTGAGGTGGGAGGATTGCTTGAGCCTGGGAGGTCAAGGCTGCAGGGAGCTGTGATGGCACCACTGCACTCCAGAGAGAGACCCTGTGTCAAAAAAGAAAGAAAGAAGGAAGGAAAATGAAGGAAGGAAAAAAAAGGAAG
This sequence comes from Homo sapiens, assembly GCF_000001405.40. Classification (NCBI taxonomy): domain Eukaryota; kingdom Metazoa; phylum Chordata; class Mammalia; order Primates; family Hominidae; genus Homo; species Homo sapiens. The sequence goes on from NW_003315955.1 coordinate 11,557, forward strand.
GAAAGAAAGGAGAGAGAAAGAAAAGAGAGAGAAAGAAAACAGAAGAGAAAAGAGGCTGGGTGCAGTGGCTCATGCCTGTAATCCCAGCACTTTGGGAGGCTGATGCGGGCGGATCACCTGAGGTCAGGAGTTCAAGACCAGCCTGGCCAACGTGGCGAAACCCCATCTGTACTAAAAATACAAAAATTAGCTAGGCATGGTGGCAGGCGCCTATAATCCTAGCTACTAGGGAGGCTGAGGCAGAATTGCTTGAACCCAGGAGGCAGAGGTTGCAGTGAGCCAAGATCACACCACTGCATTCCAGCCTGGGTGACAGAGCAAGACTACGTCTCAAAAAAAAAAAAAAAAAAAAAAGTAAAGGGCGCTGATAAAGCTATCAGTGTGCAGCAGCTTGGGCCTACCACCCTTCCTGAGCTATCCAGCGACTAGGCTTCAGGTAGTGTGGTGGAGAGTCATGAGACCTGGCGGTGGGCTCAGGGTCCTGCCCATCTGTACAGCCGAGGCTAATGAGGGCAAGGGGGCAGTGTGTATTGGCTCCGACAATGTATTGATCACACGAAAGTTTTTGTTTGTTTTGAGACAGGGTCTTGCTCTCGCCCAGGCTGAAGTGCAGTAGCCTGATCGTGGCTCACTGCTATCTCAACATCCTAAGCTCCAGCAATCCTCCAGCTTTAGCCACCTGAGTAGCTGGGACTACAGGCATGCACCACTGCACCCAGCTAATTTTTGTATTTTTGGTAGAGATCGGATTTCACCATGTTGCCCAAGTTGGTCTCCAACTCCTGGGCTTAAGCAATCCACCTGCCTTGGCCTCCCAGAGTGTTAGGATTACAGGTGAGCCACCATGCCTGGCCTGTTTTTGTTTTTGTTTTTGTTTTTTTTTTTGAGACGATCTTGCTCTGTCACTCAGACTGTGCAGTGGCACAATCACGGCTCTCTACAGCCTCCAACTTGACCTCCTGGGCTCCAGTGATCCTCCTGCCTCAGCTGCCCAAGTAGGACTGCAGGCATGTGCAAGTACACTCAGCTAATTTATTTTTATTTTTGTAGAGATGAGGTCTGGCTGTGTTGCCTAGGTTGGTCTCAAACTCCTGGCCCTAAGCAGTCCTGCCACGTTGCCATCCCAAAGTGCTGGGATTACAGATTTGAGCCACCATGCTTGGCCAGCAAAATTGTGTTTTAAAATGGGAGGAGAATAGAGGGAACATTTGCAAATATCTGTTGTTTTAGTGGTTATATTAGGGGCAGTATTAACATTGTTATGCTGAGTTTTTGTATGGTAACAAGTGAGTAATTAGGGGCTGTCCTCAGCCAGCTTTCCCCAGGTCCTGTGTTGAAGGTTGTCTGTGTGGAAGATAGATCAGGGAGTGGTTAAATAGAAGCCCTGTAGTCGCCAGGTGTGGTGGCTCACGCCTGTAATCCCATCGCTGGGAGACCAGGGTGGGCGGATCACCTGAGGTCAGGAGTTCGAGACCAGCCTGGCCAGGTGAAACCCCATCGCTACTAAAAATAAAAAAATTAACCGGGCATGGTGGTGCACGCCTATAATCCCAGCTCCTTGGGAGGCTGAGGCAGGAGAATCGCTTGAACCCGGGAGGCGGAGGTTGCAGTGAGGCGAGATTGTGCCATTGCACTCCAGCTTGGGCAACAAAGCAAGACTCCGTCTCAAAAAAAAAAAAAAAAAAAAAAAAAGAAGAAGCCCTGTAGTCTCAGATTTGAATTGGAAGGTTAATATGAATTCATGAGGTATTTTTATCTTTAAATGTGTATGTGTGGTGAGTTTAAGTGAATTTACTTAGAAACAATGAGCAGCCCATTACAAAGAGAATCTCTAACATCCCGATTGAACCCAGGCGTTCCTGTTAAAATGACTCATTCCAAGTCTGGGACAGGAAATGGGCCAGATGAGCCTGGGACGTCTTGTCATATATCACTTGGGAAAAAAGCGATCAAAGACTATTAGGGGGTGGGCACAGTGGCTCATGGAGGCAAACGTGGCAGATTGCTTGAGCCCAGAAGTTCGAGACCAGCCTGGCCCACATGGTGAAACTCTGTCTCTACTAAAAATACAAAATTAGCCAGGCGTGGTGGCAGGCACCTGTAATCCCAGCTACATGGGAGGCTGAGGCAGGAGAATCACTTGAACCTGGAAGGTGGAGGTTGCAGTGAGCCAAGATTGTGCCACTGCACTCCAGCCTGGGTGACAGAGAGAGACCATCTCGAAAAATAAAAAATAGGGTCATGTCAAAAGGACTCAGCAGACTCAAAGAGGCCTTCACTGGCCAGAAACGAGACAAGTTCAACTTGTCCCAATTATTATTGTCCTATAATAATAATTGCAGGACGCCATTGAATGTTAAGATTCATGAGTTCATAATTTTAATATATAACATAATTTTGGATGATAGGGAACCATTTATTTTGAAAACTGGTAAATAAGAAGCAAGCATTTATCCCAGCCTTTCCTAAATGCACGATAGATGAAGATGAGTATCTATAAAAGTATTTCAACTTTCACTAACTATAAAAATGATAGAATAACATCATTCTGTAATCCTGATGAATAAATAGATAGAAATATTAAGCATCAGCTGCTAACATCACACACACAAAAGACAAGCAGATGTCCTGTGTCTCCTAGAGATCTACAGTCTTGCCAGAGTTTTGTTATCCAGACTGAATAGATCCAGTCTCTGAATCCAGCTGCCAATTTGCAAGAAATAGAGACCAAGGAACCTGTTGAACTGTACTGTGGGAAACTGAAGTCAGAAGGCTCAGGCTCTTTATCTTTTTTTTGTTGTTGTTGAGATGGAATCTTGCTCTGTCGCCCAGGCTGGAGTGCAGTGGTGCGATCTCGGCTTACTGCAACCTCTGCCTCCTGAGTTGAAGTGATTCTCCTGCCTCAGCCTTCTGAGTAGCTGGGACTACAGGCATACGCCACCATGTCCAGCTATTTTTTGTGTGGTTTTGGTAAAGACGGACCTTCACTATGTTGGCCAGGCTGGTCTCGAACCCCTGACCTCAAATGATGCGCCCGCGTCGGCCTCCCAAAGTGTTGGGATTACAGGCGTGAACCACCCCGCCCGAACAGAAGGCTCAGTCTCTTTAATTTGTAGGAAATGTCCCACCCAATTCCTTTCTTTTTCTTGGAGCAGATCTATTGTAAGTTTTAAAACACGAGGAAGCGATCATCACAGCAGCCGGAAAGCGGCTCCTCCCTGGGCAGAGGCTGTGGTGTGGTGTGGGGTCGGGGCAGTCCTGGCTCCTGGGGTCCTCTGTGCGCTTGTGTGCATTTCCGTGTTTACTTTACAATAAAAAGGTTTATTATTGTTTGGTTGTTTTTTGTTTTTGGTTAATGGCTTTAGACAGGTTAGCTTGCCTTGAAGAAAAGTTAACACTGGTTATTAGGAACTCAGGTCGTCTTCTATCCAAATCACGGGGCTGCTGTGACCTGTGGCACAGGTGCCATTGAGGACATGTCCTGCACTAGCTCGTGTCTGGTCCGATGTGCGTGCCGGCTGTGCCGAGGGCAGCAGCTTCCGTGTTCCTGGTCGCTTCTGTTCCCCAGGAGAGAATCTGAGGTTGTTCCAATTAAAGCTCTGTCCCCTGTGGTGTACTGTCTGTGACCTGTCCTGCCTTCAAATAGAAGCAACCAGACTATTTCCCACTCCGACCTTGCCTTTGGGCTTAAGAAACTGTCACCAGGACCCAGTTTTGACAGTGACAAATCATCATGAGCCCTTACTGAGTCTCTTTGCACTGTCCCCAGCCACTTTATGTCCGATTAGAGACACGAGGGAGAGAAAAACCTGCTGCCTGCCCTCTCTGAGCTGAGAACCAGTGAGGGGCAAGAGGCCGGTGCAACTCCTGAAGGAGAGAACGGGGTGCAGAGAGAAGGGGGACCCTTCCAGCTCCATCTGCAGAGCCATCTCGTTTCCGTTGGGTGAATGTTCAGTCCCAAGTTGAAAGTTAAGTCCTTGTCTGGCTGCCAAGCCCTGCCTGTCCTTTCCACTTTGCCAGGGCGGTGTATTAGTCTGCTCTCGCATTGCTATAAAGAAATACCTGAGCCTGGGTAATTTATAAAGAAAACGGGTTTCATTGGCTCACGGTTCTGCAGGCTACTGGAAGCATGGCGGCATCTGTTTCTGGGGAGGCCTCGGGGAGCTTTCACTCATGTGGAAGGTAGAGCGGGAACAGGCTTCTGATATGGCAGGAGCAGGAGCAAGACACAGCCAGGGGAAGGTTGCCACACACTTTTTTTTTTTTGAGATGGAGTCTTGTTCTGTCACCCAGACTGGAGTGCAGTGGTGCAATCTCGGCTCACTGCAACCTCCGCCTCCTGGGTTTAAGCAACTCTCCTGCCTCAGCCTCCCGAGTAGCTGGGACTACAGGTGGGTGCCACCACACCCGGCTAATTTTTTTGTATTTTTAGTAGAGAACGGGATTTCACCATATTAGCCATGATGGTCTCGATCTCCTGACCTCGTGATCTGCCCGCCTCAGCCTCTCAAAGTGCTGGGATTACAGGCGTGAGCCACCGCATCCAGCCTGCCACACACTTTTTAACAACCAGATCTTTTGGTAACTCACTCACTATACAGTACCAAGGGAGGATGGTGCATTAGTCCATCCTCATTCTGCTAATAAGGACATACCCAAGACTGGGTAACTTATAAACAGAAAAGGCTTAATTGAGTCCCAGTTCAGCATGGCTTGGGAGGCCTCAGGAAACTTACAACCATGGCAGAAGGGGAAGCAAACACATGTCCTTCTCCACATGGCAGCAGGAAGGAGAAGTACAGAATGAAAGTGGGGAAAGCCCCTTATAAAACCATCAGATCTCATGAGAACTAACTCAATATCATGAGAACAGCATGGGGGAACTGCCTCCATGATCCAATTGCCTCCCACTGGGTCCCTCTCACCACGGGTGGGGATTATGAGATTTGGGTGGGGACACAGCCAAACCATATTAGATGGTGCTAAGCCATTCATGAGAATGCCACCTGCATAATCCAGTCACCTCCCACCAGGCCCCACCTTCAACACTGGGGATTACAATTCAAAATGAGATTTGGGTGGGGACATGGATCCAAACCATATCAGCCAGTTTACACCCAAGAGTGAAGCCAAGCAACAGCCCCCTAAGGCGGAGGCCCCTGGAGGTAGTCCTGGCTCTGCCAAGAGTCACTCCTCCTCTGGCACTATCCTGTGTCTCTTGTAACCTGGCTGAAGCTCTCAGAGCTTGGGGCAGTGACAGCCTTTGCCCCCTTCAGCTCTGCCCTTGGAGTCAGAGCCACGAGGGGAGACCCTCCAGCCCTCATGTCCACTGGAGTCCTACCCGGGTCCCTTTTTTTGTGTGTGGGTTGTTGGTTCGTTTGTTTTTTCTTGATATGGAGTTTCACTCTTGTCTCCCAGGCTGGAGTGAAATGGCGCGATCTTGGCTCACTGCAACCTCTGCTTCCTGGGTTCAAGTGATTCTCCTGCCTCAGCCTCTTGAGTATCTGGGATTACAGTCACCTGCCACCACTCCCGGCTAATTTTGTATATTTTTAGTAGAGACGGGGTTTCACCATGTTGGCCAGGCTGGTCTCAAACTCCTGACCTCAGGTGATCCACCCATCTCGGCCTCCCAAAGTGCTGGGATTACAGGCTTGAGCCACTGCGCCCAGCCTTACCTGGGTACTTTTATGTGTCAGCTTGACTGGGCCACGGGGTTCCCAGATGTGTGGTCAGACATTATTCTGGGTGTCTGTGGGTGAGTTTAACATTTAAATCAGTGGACTGAGAGGAGTAGACTGTGCTCCCTAGTGTGGGGGGGCCTCATCCAGTCAGTTGAAGGCCTGCATAGAACAAAAAGCCTCACCCTCCCCCGAGGAAGAGAATTCTCCGGACTGCCTGCCTTCAGACTGGGACACTGGCTTTTTCCTGCCTTGGAACTTGAATGCTGGCTCTTCTTGGGCCTCAAGCCTCAGACTGGAACCCTGTGGTCCGCTCTCCTGGGCCTCCAGCTTGCCGACTGCAGCAGATCTTGGGACTTAACCTCTGCAATCACATGAGCCGAATCCTTGTCATCTCTGTGTGTGTGATTCTCTGTCTCTCTACACACATGTACATACACCCTGTTGTTCTGTTTCTATAGGAGATGTGCTCCAAAATCCTGGAACTGCAAAACCTTTGACTTCTACAAAAAATGGGTTAATCTGGAATCATCTCTCCTTGGTTCGTATGTGTGTGTGTATGTGTGTGTTTGGGGTTTTTCTTCCCATCAATAGGCTTATCCCAACCGGTTGCAGTGGCTCACTCCTGTAATCCCAGCACTGTAGGAGGCTGAGGCAGGCAGATCGCTTGAGCCCAGGGGTTCGAGACCAGCCTGACTAACATGGTGAAACCCCATCTCTACTAAAAACACAAAGATTAGCTGGGTGTGGTGGTGGGCGCCTATAATACCAGCTACTTGGGAGGCTGAGGCACAAGAATCAATTGAACCTGGGAGGCAGAGGTTGCAGTGAGCCGAGATCGTGCCACTGCACACCAGCCTGGGTGACAGAGTGAGGCTCTGTCTCCAAAAAAAAAAAAAAAAAAAAAAAGGAAAATAAAATTAAAACATTTTTGTGGACACCTAAAGGATCATGGGCCCAGTGGAGAAGGTGGCCCTCCTCCCTTCCTCAGAGCCCCCGAGCCCTGCCCTGTGGGTTGGGAAAGAAGGGGACCTGCCCAGTGTCACGGTCAGTGGCCAAGCTGGACGACAGGTAATCCCTGAGTCCTGCCCCAGCCAGCCCTGCCCTCTGCTCTCCCAGAACCTAGAATCTGGGGGAAGATTGAACAAGCTCTTCCTTGAAGGGAGGGCGCCGCCTCCTCTCACCCCCTGCCACGGGCATCGGTGTGAGGCTGTGCTGGGGGCTGTGCTCACCCTCTGCGTCCCCGATGGGGCAGTGTCTGGTACCTGTGGAGTTCCTGGAAGAATCTGTGCCCTGATTGCCATTGTGAGCTGTGCCGGGGAGGCTCTGTAGGAGAGGAGGAGCAGTTAGCCGACTATTGGGGCGTGGGACAGGCTGGTCACGGGGCTCCGCTTCCTGGAGGGCTGCTGCTTTCGTAGGCCTGGCATCCGCCCCTCCAGCCGCATGCTGTCTGATTGTTCCCTGCAGGAGGTGCCAGCCCCTAGCTCTGGCAGCATCAGAGGAGCACATGAACCGAATGCTTCCAGAAGGCTCTGCGGCTGGTGGGGAGAAGGCTCTGGAGACCTTCAGTGAGTTGTGGCCTGTTCCCCGCTTCTCTCCGCACCGTTGGATGAGCCTCCTGTGGCATGGCTGGAAGGGCTGGGCGCTGAGGGTGTAGGCATCAGGACAGCTTTGCCTGGGCTGCCCACATTCTCTGCCCTGGGGGGACAGGGGCAGCTGGCGAAGCCCTCGTGTGGTGTCTCAGTGAAGTGCCCAGTGATGGGCTAGGGCCACCCCTGTCCTGAGCCTCCCCATGGCCCTCCAGTTCTTCCCTCCCTCCCACCTGCTCCTGTCTCCTTCGTTTTCTGTTTCTGTCTGGGTTGACTCATGACATACCTGAGAGCCTCCTGGCTTCAGCCTCTCTGCCATCCCCAGAGCAAGGAGGGCTCGGGGGGCACACAGTGTGGGAAGAGGCTGGACGGGAAGGCCAGAGGGTCACAATGGGTGGCGGGCGCCCTCCCTGCTGCCCCGTCTCGCCCGGCTCCCAGAGTCACTCATTCGGGCTCACTCTGGGCCCTCAGCTGCTCCCTCTGATCCCAGCCTCAAAGGTGCAGCTGGTCTGGTTAGACACGTGTTCTCAGAAGGAGCAGAGAGTGATGCATTAATTTATCCTTTGTTGACTCTGAAAGTCAAAAGCTCCCGGGGAATCTGGACTAATCTCTCTCCTAGAAGTGGCTGATTATTTGTAAAAGGATCTGAGCTTGCTGAGTGTCACATGGCAGTGGGACCTCCATGCAGGTCCCTGAGTGGCCATGCCGCTCTCCTCCCCTTCCCGCCCAGGCCAGGCCTCCAGTGCTGTGCTTCCGCTGTTTCGTCTGCCTGGGACGCTCCCGCCCCTGGAGAAGGAGAACTCAGGAAGCTCTTCCCTGAAGACATTTGTGGGGGCTTGGCCAGCCTCCCTTCCTGTCCCCCTTGTCCCCTGCACAGACTTTTGTGCAACGCTGCGATGATTTATTTTATTTTTTATCTCTTGTAGTGATGGGGTCTAACCATGTTGCCCAGGCTGGTCTCAAATTCCTAGGCTCAAGCGATCCTCCCGCTTCGGCCTCCCAAAAGGCACAGACACAAGCCACCGTGCCCGGCCCTGTGATGTTCATGGAACTGACTTGTCCCACGTCTGTCTCCTTCTCCTTCCTACCTCTGTGTGACCGGGCCCTCGAGCTGTGCTGGACACACAGAAGGTGCTGGTGCATGGAAGGTGGAGGTCAGAAGGGCCTCCCTTCCCCCGCGAGAAGGGCAGGTCCTACCACAGCATGGGTGGGCGCCTGGGATGTGGAAGGAAGCTGAACTGCTTCTAGTCCAGGCTTCTCAGGCTGCATTCACAGGCCAGAGCTTTTTTTTTTTTTTTTTTTTTGAGACAGAGTCTCTACCTGTCTCGCCCAGGCTGGAGTGCAATGGCGCAGTCTTGGCTCACTGCAGCCTCCGCTTCCTGGGTTCAAGCGATTCTCCTATCTCAGCTTCCCGAGTAGCTGAGACTACAGGCATGTGCCACCACGCTCGGCTAATTTTGTATTTTTAGTAGAGACGGGGTTTCACCATGTTGGCCAGGCTGGTCTCGAACTCCGGACCTCAGGTGATCCACTGGCCTTGGCCTCTAAAGTGCCGAGATTACAGGTGTGAGGCACCGCACCCAGCCCTCCCGCAGTTCTGATTGGATAACCCAGCCCAGGAGTGCCCCGGAGCCCTCCCTCTGGCCGTATGCTGAGCTCAGTGCCTCACCCCCACCATTTTAGTCCCCACCCATCCCTGCAGGGTCAGTCCTACTGTCCCCACTGCACAGATGGGGAAACTGAGGCTCAGAGGGGTTGGGGAAATTTGCCCACAGTTTCAGCCAACAAAATGGAGAACAGGATCCAGTCCGGCCCCAGGCCCTGCTCTGCTGACCTCTGTTTTATCTTCCCACCCGGGACCCAGAGGATGGGGTGCTCCTCAGGACTCGCCACAGAGCCCGACCGGAGGACTGGGAATGTGCCCACAGCTGGGACAAGGAACCAGCCAGCAGCATTCCTGGCAGGCCCATCCCAGCCAGGTGAGGCCCCAGCTCCTCTTGGCTTCTCCCACTGTGGGTACGGGGACGTGACAGCAAATAGACTGTCCAATTTCCCTGCCCTCGCGGAGTAAGATGGAGAGGAACGTTCTGGAGCAGACAGTGATGGCTGCTTCTGGGAGACACAGCAGGGAAGCGGTGAGCCATGCAGAGAGTCGGGGGATTGGCGTCGGCCTCTCCCCTACATGCTCCTGCCCGCCCCAAAGCCCTCAGTGTCTCAGTGCTAGTCTGGACTTTCCCTCCCTTCCTGGGACTCAGGGAGGGATTCTTTTGCCTGCTGGCCACAGCGGGAAGCAGCAGATGCTGCCCGGGCCGGCCTGTGGGGACGGCACCCTGCCTCTGGAAGGCTCGGTGATGCTGCGGCCAGCCGGTGTCCACCAGGCCTGTGCCAGGTGAGATGGGCCTTCACGGTGGCCTGGCTCCGTGGACCAGGCCCCCGGATGCATCCCTCCCCCAGCAGGCAGTGGATTGGAGAGGAGCCCTAGGAGCACGAGGGACCCCAACTGGGGGGACTTCAGAGGTGCCTGCCTGGGAGGGGGCAGGTGCAAGAAAGATACTTCCAGGACCCCGAGGGAGGAGACAGCCCCGGACTTCGAGGCTCATGGCCAGAAGGCTGGGAGCTCCCTGAAGGCAAGCACAGGGAACCCAGAAGACAGCAGCAGGCAGGGGCCATGGATGGGGGCCTTGGGGCCAACCACCCGGTGAAGGCTTGATGGAAGGAGGGAGGGAGCCACCGACGGTCCTTGAGGGTCCTTGGATGCCTGCTTATGGAGGAGTAGCCTGACACTGAGAAGTGAGGGGGCATCCAGGTCCCAGGTCTGGGTGAGCCAGGTGATCTGGTTTGGCTCTGTGTCCCCACCCAAATCTCATCTTGAATTGTAATCCCCACATGTGGAGGGAGGGAGGTGATTGGATCATGGAGGCAGCTTCCCCAGTGCTGTTCTCGTGATAGTGAGTGGGTTCTCACGAGGTCTGATGGTTTTATAAGGGGCTCTTCTCCCTTCCTATTCCTTCTCTTTCTCTCCTGCTGCCTTGCGAAGAAGGCGTCTGCTTCCCCTTCTGCCGTGAGTGTAAGTTTCCTGAGGTCTCCCCAGCCATGTGGAACTGTGAGTCAATTAAACCTCCCTGGCTGATAAATTACCTAGTCTCGGGTAGTATCTTTATGGCAGTGTGGAAATGGACTAATACAGCAGGTGATCTGGGAATGGAGGGGAAATACTTCTGGGAATGTCACTGATCTAAAACCTGTCTGTAGTGGGGTTGGATGACGAGCCACGCTGGTGAACCGATTTCCTGATCCTCAGGGATTCCTGCAGGGGTGGCCCAGGTTCCTGCTCTAGGACATGGGGATGTATGGGCCCGCTTGTCTGGTTCCAGCCTTTGGGGCCTGCTGAGATTTGCTGGGGCCGCAGGAAGAGGAGCAGTTGGCTTCTTGCTTGAGAACTTTTCAAGAACATTTTCAGGGTGTAGATGAGTGAAGGACCCACATGCTGCTGTGCTCCTAGTTTATGAACTACTGATCTTTGCTGACTCTATGGAGAGAGCAATGGATGGAAGGGATGGAAGGCCCTTTGCTTTTGAAAGCAAAATAGAGAACATCTGAGCTATGCAAGAAGAGCAAGGACAGGGACCTATTGTAATTCTGTGCACGGCCCCCTCTTGACATTCTCCACTCCTGTGGAATTTGGTTTTACGACCACAGGACTAAGCTAATTAGGACTTAGCTGAGGAGATGGGCCGTGTTTCCCTGTGCTCAGATGGTGACGGTGTTGTGCACCTTCTCTTGCCACAAGATCCAGAGTCAATGAAGACAGGACTCCAGAGTGTTTGCACAGAAGCCGGGTCTTCCAGCCAAAGTGGATTCTGTGTGATTACAAGTTTGCTAGTAATGCCACCCTGGTTTATTTATTTTAATTTATTTTATTTTTTTAAACAGCAAAACCAAAATGAAGCAATTGAATTGGGTTTCACAATAATGAAGGAAAAGCCTTGTGTCTATTTTGTTTGTTTGTTTGTTTGAGACGGAGTTTCGCTCTTGTTGCCCAGGCTGGAGTGCAGTGGCGCCATCTCGGCTCACTGCAACCTCCGCCTCCCAGGTTCAAGCGATTATTCTCCTGCCTCAGCCTCCCGAGTAGCTGGGATTACAGGCACTGGCCACAATGCCCGGCTAATTTTTTTGGTATTTTTAATAGAGATGGGTTTTCACCATGTTGGCCAGGCTGGTCTCGAACTCCTGACCTCAGGTGATCCGCCCACCTCAGCCTCCCAAAGTGCTGGGATTACAGGTGTGAGCCACCACGCCCAGCCCTTGTGTCTGTTTTTTAATTAAAATTTTGATGGAGATAATTGTAGATCCACATGCAATTGCAAGAAATCACACTGAGAAATTCCTTTGACCCTTTACTCATTTTCCGCCAATGGCAACATCTTGCAAAATTATAATTCGCTACCACAACCAGGCTATCAATGTTGGGACAATCCACCAGTCTTATTATTTATTTATTTATTGAGACAGAGTATCACTCTGTTGCCCAGGCTGGAGTGCAGTGACGTGATCTCAGCTCACTGCAACCTCCGCTTTCCAGGTTCAAGTGATTCTCCTGCTTCAGCCACCCGAGTAGCTGGGATTACAAGTGTGCAGCACCACGCCCAGCCAATTTTTGTATTTTTAGTAGAGACCGGGGTTTCGCCATGTTGGCCAGGCTGGTCTCGAACTCCTGACCTCAAGTGATCCACCTGCCTTGGCCTCCCAAAGTGCTGGGATTACAGGCATGAGCCACTGTGCCCAGTCCCAATTTTTTTTTGATGCCTGCTCCTTCTGAGGCAGGTGTACTGATTTTTATGTGGACGTAAACTTTCGTTTTTCCAGGCAGTACAATAGCCGCCGTGTCATGTGGTAGTTAGTTGCGTGTTTTGTTTGATAAGAAACTGCTGTCCTGGCGCAGTGGCTCACGCTTGTAATCCCAGCACTTTGGGAGGCCAAGGCAGGAGGGTCACATGAGCTCAGGAGTTTGAGACCAGCCTGGGCAACATGGTGAAATCCCATCTTTACTAAAAATACAGAAAATTAGTCAGGCATGGTGGCATGTGCCTGTGGTCCCGGCTACTTAGGAGGCTGAGGTGGGAGGATCACTTGAGCCCAGGAGGTCAAGGTTGCAATAAGCCGACATCACACCACTGCACCCCAGCCTGGGTAACAAAGTGGGATCCCGTCTCAAAAAAAGAAAAGAAACTGCCAGACTGTTTTCCAGAGTAACTGTACTGTTCCCGCCAGCAGTGTGTGCGTGATCTTATTTCTCTGCATCCTCATTAGCATTTGGTGTTGCCACCATTTTTTGTTTCAGCCGTTCTGATAGTTAACGCAGTGATATCTTATTGTAGTCGTAATGTGAATTTCCCTAATGGCTCACGATATTGAACGTCTTTTCACGTGCTTATTTGCCATCCGTATATCCTTTTTGGTAAAATATTTCATATCTCTTGCCCATGTTCTAATTACATTCTTTGATGCTTTTCTGTTGAATTACACTGAGGGAGGTAAGGGAACCAGCCAAGCAGATTCCCTGGAGAAGAACATTCCAGAAAGAGAGAAGAGCTAATTTAAAGGCCATGAGACAGGAGTTCAGGGTGTTCAAGATAAAGCACCAGAGTCAGTGTAGCCGGGCGAGTGAGCTGCGGGAGAGGGAGGCACATTCACCAAATAATTCATGGCCACCCCCATAACCGGCCCCGCTACAGACAGGCGGCACCGCGCAGTTGGCCCAGGCCCCCACGACGGGAAGGAACGTGGGCCACTCCTGGGCAGAGGCATGAGGAACAGGTGAGCGATGCCTGGCCTGCCTTCTGCTTCTTGATGATGGCTGGAGGCCACGCATTGAGTTTGTTGAAACAAGATTGTGGCAGCCTGGATGGGTGAGTCACCGCGTGGAGCCGCTGCTGCTCTGGGGAGCTGCCTGGCTCGCTCTGGACTTAGCGTGAGCGAGAAGTAAATCTGTAGTGTATCGTGTCTTGGAGACATCAGGGCTTATTTGTCACCACTGCAAAAATGAGTTCATTCTGACAAATACAGGGATGAGGTCAGCAAAATGAGTTCATTCTGACAAATACAGGGATGAGGTCAGCAAAAATGAGTTCATTCTGACAAATAGAGGGATGAGGTCAGCAAAAATGAGTTCATTCTGACAAATACAGGGATGAGGTCAGCGGGACTTGGCGGGTGTGGGGGGCCGGTCAGGTCCTGCAAGGCCTTATGGGTCTTGGTAAGGACACCAGCTTTTTGGCTTGAGTTCTGAGTGAGATGGGAAACAGCTGCCTTTTCTCATTTGACTTTGACTTCCTCCCCTCAACCCCACCTGCTGCAATGAAAGTCGTAATATTTATGAGGTCAAAGGTATTCTCTTTCTCAGTAGCCTCTGGGTTTTGTATCAGCTTGGAAACGACTTTTGCATGTTTAATTCTCCTCCTACCTTTTTTTCTCGTACTTTCATGGCTTTTTAAAATTTTATTTTTATTTTGTTTAGAGGCAGAGTCTCACTCAAGGCTGGAGTGCAGTGGTGCCATCTCGGCTCACTGCAACCTTCCCCTCCGAGTTCAAGTGATTGTCGTGCCTCAGCCTCCCAAGTAGCTGGGATTACAGGCACGTGCCATGATGCCCAGCTAATTTTTGTATCTTTAGTAGAGACAGGGTTTCACTGCGTTGGCCAGGCTGGTCTCGAACTCAAGTGATCCTCCTGCCTCGGCCTCCCAAAGTGCTGGGATTACAGGCGTGAGCCACCGCACCCGGCCTTCATGGCTTTATTTTTTTACACTGAAATCTCTGATGCATCTGGTGGGTTTTGTGTAAGGAGTGAGGTCGAGCTTTTAATGAGTCCTAAATGGTCCTCTAGATTCAGTGTCTGCATGACAAAGCTTATGGCCAGCTCTTTGAAACTCTGGAGAAACCCTTTAGGGAACTGATGCTGGGTCTAGGGTGGGAAGGGCATCGGGGTGGTGAGAGGAGCCCCAGCAGATCACCAGGGAGGGCCAGGGCCGGCTGGGTGGCTGCCTGGGACAATTAGACAATTATGAGGAGTGTGGTGGCCAGGCGTGGTGGCTCATGCCCGTAATCCCAGTACTCTGGGAGGCCAAAGCGGGTGCATCACCTGAGGTTAGGAGTTCGAGGCCAGCCTGGCCAACATGGTGAAAACTCCTCTCTACAAAAAATTAGCTGGGTGTGGTGATGGGCACCTGTAATCTCAGCTACTTGGGAGGCTGAGACAGGAGAATCACTCGAACCTGGGAGGCGGAGGTTGCAGTGAGCGGAGATCACACCATTGCACTCAAGCCTGGGCAACAAGCGCGAAACTGTCTCCAAAAGAAAAAAAAAAGGAGTGTGGAAATAACCCAGGAATAAAAAAAACACAGTGCTAACATCACATTGTGTAGCCCCAGCGTGAAGGGGTTTTTGGCCACCACAGGGAGCAGAATGTCCTTTGGTGGACATGACAAGAGTCTTTTCTGAGGCACCTTGTCTGCGGCACAGCTGCCTGGGTGCCCGAGGAACAGCCCTGTGTCAGCATTTAGTCCGCTGAAACATGCAGCTAAATAACCAGCCGGCTGTCTTCCGAGAACAAGTGATTTATTTTTATTGCTTCATTTTTAAACACTTCAACATGCCTCCCAAGAAGCTGTGTGGTTTGGAAAAGCGTAAGAGAAAGCTGAAGAGAAAATGCAAGCTGGAGAAAAGTGGGGATGCTTTGCTGACACATTCTTCCGGAAACCAGCTCGGCTCTGCCAGGCGTGTGTTTTTGGCCAGTGCCATTTCCGGGCCCCTGGAGTTGATGGACATTTCCTGTGCGGGGTCTGATTCCCACTACAGATTTGAAAGAGGCATGCAGATTTTTATTTTAAAAAAACTAAATAGAACCTGGTAGCCAGACATGGTGGCGCGAGCCTGCAGTCTCAGCTACTTATGAGACTGAGGTGGAAGAATCGCTTGAGCCCAGGATGTGGAGGTTGTAGCGAGCCAAGATTGCAGCACTGCACTCCAGCCTAGGTGACAGAACAAGAGACCCTCTCTCAAAAAACAAACAGGCTGGGCATGGTGGCTCATGCCCATAATCCCAGCAGTTTGGGAGACTGAGACAGGTGCATCACCTGAGGTCAGGAATTCGAGACCAGCCTGGCCAACATGGCGAAACCCCCTCTACTAAAAATACAAAAATTAGCCAGGCGTGGTGGCAGGCGCCTGTAATCCCAGCTGCTCAGGAGGCTGAGGCAGGAGAATTGATTGAACCTGGGAGGCGGAGGTTGCAGTGAGCCGAGATTGTGCCACTGCACTCCAGCCTGGGTGACAAGACCGAAACTGCGTCTCAAGAAAAAAACAAAAAACAAAACAAAAGCCCAAAACAAAAAACCCAAAATAAAAAAAACAAACTAAAGAATATTGGTTTTTCTGTCTCTCAAAATATGTAGTGAACATCTCTCAATCTAAGGGGCATTGTAGTGTTAGCCAGCTGAGGTAAAAAGGCAAGACCCATTCGTCTCCAAGTGTCCTAGCTGGGGCTCTTAAAGAACCAGCAAGGCCAGGTGCAGTGGCTCATGCCTGTAATCACAGCACTTTGGAAGGCCAAGGTGGGAGGATCATTTGAGCCCAGGAGTTCAAGACCAACCTGGGCAACATAGGGAGACTTTGTCGCTACCAAAAAAATACAAAAAAATTAGCCGGCCATGGTGGCATATGCCTGTAGTCCCAGCTATTTGGGAGGCTGAGGTGGGAGGATTGCTTGAGCCTGGGAGGTCAAGGCTGCAGGGAGCTGTGATGGCACCACTGCACTCCAGAGAGAGACCCTGTGTCAAAAAAGAAAGAAAGAAGGAAGGAAAATGAAGGAAGGAAAAAAAAGGAAGGAAAGAAAGGAGAGAGAAAGAAAAGAGAGAGAAAGAAAACAGAAGAGAAAAGAGGCTGGGTGCAGTGGCTCATGCCTGTAATCCCAGCACTTTGGGAGGCTGATGCGGGCGGATCACCTGAGGTCAGGAGTTCAAGACCAGCCTGGCCAACGTGGCGAAACCCCATCTGTACTAAAAATACAAAAATTAGCTAGGCATGGTGGCAGGCGCCTATAATCCTAGCTACTAGGGAGGCTGAGGCAGAATTGCTTGAACCCAGGAGGCAGAGGTTGCAGTGAGCCAAGATCACACCACTGCATTCCAGCCTGGGTGACAGAGCAAGACTACGTCTCAAAAAAAAAAAAAAAAAAAAAAAAAGGAAAAGAAAGAAAGAGACTGATTTAGTGATTTAGTTTGGCTCTATGTTCCCACCCAAGTCTCATCTCCAATTGTGATCCCCATAATTCCCATGTGTTGAAGGGGGGACCTGGTGGGAGGTGATTGGGTCATGGCAGCGGTTCCCCTATACCGTTCCCGAGATAGTGAGTGAGTTCTCAGATGATCTGATGGTTTTATAAGGGCCTCTTCCTCCTTCGCTCATTCACTCTCTCTTGCCTGCTGCCATGTAAGACATGCCTTTGCTTCTCTCTTGCTTTCTGCCATGATTGTAAGTCTCATGAGGCCTCCCCAGCCATGTGGAACTGTGAGTCAATTAAACCTCTTTCCTTTATAAATTACCCAGTGTCAGGTATTTCTTTAGAGCAGTGTGAGAACGGACTCATACAGAAACCAAAAAGAAGGCAGAATGGAGGAAAGACAGCAGGTCCAGGACTTGGTCACCTTGATGCCCCAGTGTGACCTTTTGTCCCACTGAGTTCCCAGCGCTGGCTGTCACATGCTCAGGGCTCAGCCATCTGCTCCTCATGCAATCTCCAGTGTTTGCAGAGCAGGAGGATGTTTCCAAGGAAATCCTACTGGAATATCACCAGAGTTCCCTGGAAGGCATCAGGGACAGTGGTGAGCTTGGCAGTGAGCCTTCTCCACCTCCCTAGTTCAGGTCCTGCCCACCGAGAGTTAGGGACGGTCTTGGTGCTGTTGGGCCGTCCTGACCACCGTGGCAGCCAGCAATGGGCTGGGTTTGTCTATGGCAGGTTTCTCAGCAGGCACGGCTGACATGCTGTGCAGGGTCATTCTCTGCGGGGGGAGCCGTCCTGTGTGCACTCTAGGATGTTTAGCAGCGTCTCTGGCCTCTACCCACCAGATGCCACTAGCACCCACCCAGCTGTGACAACCAACAATGTCTCCAGACACTGTTTTTTTTTTTTTGTTTTTTCAAGACGGAGTCTTGCTCTGTCACCCGGGCAGAAGTGCAGTGGTATGATCTCAGCTCACTGCAACCTCCACCTCCTGGGTTGGGTTCAAGCGATTCTCCTGCCTCAGCCTCCCGAGTAGCTGTGATTACAGGCACCCACCACCACGCCTGGCTAATTTTTAAATTTTTAGTAGAGAAAGGGTTTCACCATGTTGGCCAGGCTGGTCTCGAACTCCTGATCTCAAGTGATCCTCCCAACTCGGCCTCCCAAAGTGCTAGGATTGCAGGTGTGAGCCACCGTGTCCAGCCAGACACTGTTTAATGTTCCCCATGTGGGCAAAACTGCCCCTAGCTGAGAATCATTGATCTAAACTAGCACTTTTATGACTGAGAGGATGAAACTGAGGCCCGGAAAGGTTAAGACACTTGACTGAAGTCACACAGTGAGCCCCTGGGATGGAGCTGGGGCTGGGCCCCTAGCACAAGCTCCCAGATTGGGGCTCCATCTTCGGAAATGGGGCAGCAGGTGTGGTGTGCGTGATTCTGATGAAAGATGAGACTGGAATCCACCTAAGGTTGAAATCTCCCACAGACGACCCTGAGATCACAATGCTCAGACAGGACAGACATTAATCTCCTTGGTGGTACAAAGAGCCAAGGTGATTCAATTCCAGGCCCCTGCAGAAGCTTTTTCCAAGGGCTTGGCAGGTGTAGACACTCTTCCACCAGATCCTGCCCTCGTTAGCATAATCTGAGCAGCTTCTCCTAAGATGGAAGGTCCACGCCCTGATGGGGCAGAGAACACAGGCTTCCAGATCAGGAACTGGGACTCTGGGGCCAGATGGCAAAGGGTTCACTTCTGAATAATGCCAGCATCCATCCTATTTCTCTCGCTTAGCTTTATGGTGGTGTCTTCATTGTCAATATAAAAAACACTTCAGGCCAGGCGCGGTGGCTCACGCCTGTAATCCCAGCACTTTGGGAGGTTGAGGCGGGCGGATCATGAGGTCAGGAGATCGAGACCATCCTGGCTAACCCGGTGAAACCCCGTCTCTACTAAAAATAGAAAAAATTAGCCAGGCGCAGTGGTGGGTGCCTGTAGTCCCAGCTACTCGGGAGGCTGAGGCAGGAGAATGTCCTGAACCCGGGAGGCGGAGTTTGCAGTGAGCCGAGATAGCGCCACTGCACTCCAGCCTGGGCGACAGAGCGAGACTCCATCTCAAAAAAAAAAAAACAAAACACTTCAGGCCGGGCATGGTGGCTCATGCCTGTAATCCCAAACCTTTGGGAGGTCAAGGCAGGTGGATCACGAGGTCAGGAGTTCAAGACCAGCCTGGCCAATATGGTGAAACCCCGTCTCTACTAAAAATACAAAAATTAGCTGGACATGGTGGCATGCACCTGTAGTCCCAGCTACTCAAGAAGCGGAGGCAGAAGAATTGCTTGAACCTGGGAGGCTGAGGCTGCAGTGAGCTGAAATAGCACCACTGCACTCCAGCCTGGGCGATACAGCAAGACTCCATCTCAAAAAAAAAAAAAAGAGCACTTCCACTCCACCCCCTGGTGCATACCATGTTGCTCTCATGAGGCAGGCAGACCGCAGTTTGTTCAATAAACACCTTTCCGGTGCGTGAACTCATATTTTAAAATGTGTTCTGGGAAAAGGCTGTTGAAAGAACCCCCAGTAAGAATTCTTCTCCAATGCCAGATTTCTCTTGTGATCGCTTCCTGATTTTCTGTTTAATACGTGAAATTACACATGGTGAGGAATTTTCTTTTTTTTTTTTTTTTTTTTTTTTTTTTTTTTTTTTTGAGACGGAGTCTCGCTCTGTTGCCCAGGCCGGACTGCGGACTGCAATGGCGCAATCTCGGCTCACTGCAAGCTCCGCTTCCTGGGTTCACGCCATTCTCCTGCCTCAGCCTCCCGAGTAGCTGGGACTACAGGCGCCCGCCACCGCGCCCGGCTAATTTTTTGTATTTTTAGTAGAGACGGGGTTTCACCTTGTTAGCCAGGATGGTCTCGATCTCCTGACCTCGTGATCCACCCGCCTCGGCCTCCCAAAGTGCTGGGATTACAGGCGTGAGCCACCGCGCCCGGCCTGGTGAGGAATTTTCTGAAAGCACACACGTATTTAAGAGTTCTGGAGAGAAGCAGTGTGTGTGCACTGGGGGATCCGACATACCCTAAGGATTGAGTTTGTCTGTACTAGGACAGGATCCATGAATTCATGCATGCATTCAATTTTAGAATCCTAGAGTTAGTGGCTCTGGCACAAAACAAGGAGATTGGAGAGCACTGGGCAGCAGAGGCTCTACTCCCAGGCCGGGCTCACCAGCCTCCCCGGGGGGCAGGCATGCAACAGAGCCCATGGGAGTTTCGGTTTTTTTTTTTTTTTGAGCTGGAGTCTAGCTCTGTCGCCCAGGCTGGAGTGCAGCGGCATGATCTCAGCTCACTGCAACCTCCGCCTCCTGAATTCAAGTGGTTCTCCTGCCTCAGCCTCCCAATTCCAGCCTCCCTCAGCTGGAATTACAGGTGTGCACCACCATGCCTGGCTAATTTTTGTATTTTTGTAGAGATGGGGTTTCACCGTGTTGCCCAGGCTGGTCTTGAACTCCTGGGCTCAAGCAACCCTCCTGCCTTGGCCTCCCAAAGTGCTGGGATTACCAGTGTGAACCTCTGCACCACGCCTGCATACTGTCATTTTAAAAGTCAGATCATCTCTTCCATGAGGAAGGGAGTAGAACATGGAGCCTCAACTGTGCGCATGATAAGAATCCGTGCTTCCCCCTGGGGAAATATCAGGCCTTATGGGCTTAAGTGCTCAAGCAAGAGGGACTTCAGCTTAGACGAAAGCATGAGCCTCAGTTTTGCATTTTCCTAAGGAGCGTCATCTGCGCCTCTAGGAGTTTTTACTATCTGAGCCTCCGGGTTCTTCTCCAGCCGCTGCTGAGGGCATGAAGCCATCTGGGGGTGGGGGGCGCAGGTGTGGAAGGAAGAAGCATATCCAGTCCCTTGGACGTGGCAGACTCCCAGTGTGTGTGGCGGCGCCCGCAGGAGGCAGTCCCTCTCAGCCGCATCCGCCTTGAGGTTGTTCTCAGTTCTGATGTGGCCCCAAAGAGAACCAGTTCCATTATGGATTAGTAAGAATTTATTTTGAACATGTTGTGGGAAGATGGTGACTGCAGGGGGTGCGGCGGGGGGAGGGAGCCCATTAGAGGCACCAGGTTCCCCTCCAGCGAGCCCCCCTGGACGTTGCTTCTCCCTGACCCAGCACCTTGGTAGACCCCCTTTGTTGGCCTGTCCACCCTGCTCAGCAAACCCAAACCCGAGGGTCAGCCGAGCAGTACCCCCACCCCGGCGTTCCCAAGCGGGCCCGGCGTGGGGTGACTCAGCTTGTTCCACTCCATCTGTTAGAAAAGGCACAGGACTGTCCAAGGCTGAAGCGGGGTGGGATTTTAGGGGCCCCTCCATGCAAACAAACATAAATCAACTTCCGTCCTGCCAAAAGCTCTGCTGATAATTGAGAGGCAAGCTAATGAACACAGCAGTTTAAAATTCACTCTCCAATATCTATTGCAGAATTGCATTGGATAGTTAAAAATCAAAGAGTCTAGCCCCCTAGACCCGGCCTGCTTCCTGGGGAGGCTGCCCCCGAGTTAGGATTTCACATGACACCTCCAGCACTTCTAAAGGGCCAACCCCAGAATCGCTCACTCCCCAGCACGTCTGGGCTGTGCGCGGCACCCCAGGTAAATGCAGCGGCCTCTGCATTAGCCCGCGCTGCTTAGAGACGCTGCCACGACACTTCTGCCCTTGAGTCCGGTTTTGGGGATGGTTGATGTGGGGACACATGAGCGAGTGTGGCTCCTTTTGTGGACTAGACTGCTCTGCACGCTGTGGGGTGCCAGCCTGGGAGGACCCTTTGGCCACCATCACCAGAAAGCCTTCAGCCCAAAGACCTTTCTCAGGCGTTTACAGTTTATCCACACTTTTCCTAACAAGACTCCAACACTTCCAGTCTCTTGGGAACTAATTGGGAGGGCAAGTAAACACCTCTTCAACAGAAATGGCTCAGGGGGGCCTGTTGTACACCCCCCTGTGTCCCAACAAACCTCTGCCAGCCTCAAACAACTGGACAAAATCCTCCTGAGGGCACCAGAAGTGAGCTGGGGTGGCTGGCGCCGCCTGGTAGGGCACAGGGCTGGTCTGCAGGGTCATGTGATTGGAGGAACAGCTTGAACTAGGTTGCCTGGCAGGTGGACAGGCACCTAACCCCGCAGCAGGTGCCATAAGCGATGAAGTGGGTGGAGGTCTTGGGGAGCGGTAGTGCTGTTCCAGGAGCTCACTGGGCTCCATACCGGCAGCTTCCCCACGGTTCCAGAGTCCTCCGGGCTGCTCGGAGCCTGGGCACCTCCCTGTGCCATTTCAGGGCCATTTCCCTGTGTCTCTCCCCCTCGCAGCACTTGCCGTGGGGCGCGTGAACCATGGCTACTGAGTGAACGCAAGAGCGTCGAGGGCTTTTGTCCTCTGACAAGTGCACACTCCCCCAGGCACCCACGTGGAATTTCAAACCCAGTCACTTCTTCCGGAAGACCCATAAATCGCTCCTTATTGTTGTGTGACTGTAAATGTGTTCTAAACATTGTCCTTTCACGCCTGCGTCCTCCCCTGTGTGCACACTTCATTAAACGTTGAAAACAACTCTTTATTATGGAAAATCTCAACCTCCGGAGAGTGCAGACAGCAGCCTTATGAACGCCTCCGGATCCAGCCTCTATATTTAACAATCGCTAACATTTTGCCATATTTGCTTCATCTGGTTTTCTTTTCTAAACTAATCTAAAGTCAGTTACTGTCTCTGTGACATTTCCCCCTAAATCTTTTTTAGACATTTTCTTTTAAAAATGACATTTTCTTTTACTGAACCACAATACCATGATCACAGCTAACAAAATTAACCCTGATTTTCTAATATCATGGCCTGCCCAGTCCATGTTTGTTTGGTTGTCTCCCAAATGGCTTTTCCAGCTGGGTTTGTTCAAAACAGGATCCCAGGCTGGGCGCGGTGGCTTATGCCTGTAATCCCGGCACTTTGGGAGGCTGAAGTGGGCGGATTATCTGAGGTCAGGAGTTCGAGACCAGTCTCACCAATGTAGTGAAATCCCACCTCTACTAAAAGCACAAAAAAAAATTAGCCGGGCCTGGTGGAGCATGCCTGTAATCCCAGCTACTTGGGAGGCTGAGACAGGAGAATCACTTGAACCTGGGAAGAGGAGGTTGAAGTGAGCTGAGATCATGCCACTGCACTCCAGCCTGGGCGACAGAGCAAGACTCTGTCTTAAAAAATAAAAATAAACAAACAAAACCCAGGATCCTGATAAGGTGCATGCGTTGCATTTGGTGGTTTCATCTCTTAGTCACCTTTAACCTGCTGCCTCCTTTGTTTTTTTTTTCTTTTAATTTTTTTTTGAGACGGAGTCTCATTCTGTTGCCCAGGCTGGAGTGCAGTGGCACAACCTCAGCTCACTGCAGCCTCCACCTCCCAGGTTCAAACGATTCTCCTGCCTCAGCCTCCTGAGTGGCTGGGATTACAGGTGCCTGGCACCACGTGCGGCTAATTTTTGTATTTTTAGTAGAGACGAGGTTTTGCCATGTTGGCCAGGCTGGTCTCGAACTCCTGACCTCAGGTGATCTGCCCGCCTCAGCCTCCCAAAGTGCTGAGATTACAGATGTGAGCCACCGCATCCGGCCATCCTGTGTTTTCATGTCTGACTGTGGAAGAGACTGGGTTGGCGGGCTGTGGACTTGCAAGGCATCCATTCAGGGTCAGCCTGGCTGCTTCCTCTGGCTGTGGTATACATACGCTGTTGCTTGTTGTGGCCTATGAAGTTGAAGTTAGAGCTAAACTAGGTCTGATAAGATTCAGGTTGTGCTTTCAGGCCAGAGGGTCTTATAGGTCATCAGAAGCACATTATGGGCCAGATGTGGTGACTCACACCTGTAATCCCAGCACTTTGGAAGCCCGAGGCAGGAGGACCGCTTAAGTCTAGGAGTTCTGAGACCAGCCTGGGCAATACAGTAAGATCCTGTTGCTACAAAAATTTTTTAAAAAGTGGCTAGGTGTGTTGGCATGTGCCTGTAATCCCAGCTACTTGGGAGGCAGAGGTGGGAGAATCTCCTGAGCTCAGGAGGTTGAGGCTGCAGTGAGCTGTGATTGCACCACTGCACTCAGCCTGGGTGACAGAGTGAGACTCTGTCTCCAAAAAAAAATGAAGGCACATCATGACTCTCGGGATTCTGAGGTTGGTCCCTGGTTTTGAGGTGAGAGCTGGTCCTCTCCATTGTTAGAGCTACCTCTTCCCTATTGGAGGCACCAAGTAAACCCAGGAGGACACATTGGCACAGGGTGAGCGCCCAGCTCCCTGCCAGCCTGTCACCAATATCCCCTCACCCCAAAACAATCCATGGCAACACATGGCTGGGCTTCCACAGTCTCTCCCTGCACACTCATCACACCAGGGGCTGAACCCCATGTGGGCTCAGTGCAGTCACCCCACTACATAATAAACGTTCCTCCAGCATTCAAAGCATTTCTTAATGGAAGGAGGTCCCCAGATGCATTTACAGCCTTGGTTCCAAACCTCAGGGCCGCCTGTGTGTAGTATTCTATAAAACTGGTTCCTTAAGAATCCACTTTGAAGGCCGGATGCGGTGGTTCAACCCTGTGATCCCAGCACTTTGGGAGGCTGAGGTGGTCGGATTGCTTGAGGCCAGGAGTTCGAGACCAGCCTGGGCAACACAGTGAGACCTTGTCTCTACAAAAAATAATAATAATCATAACTAAAAATAAATTACTTTTGAAAAATCCCCATAGTGAGGTTAGTATGAAACAAACAAACAAAAAAAAGAATCCACTTTGAAACCCTGTGGCCTACTGGGGTTTTGACATGATTGGAGCAGTGAGGCATGGAGGGTGGGCTGGGCTGGGGGGCTCAGCCAGGAGCGTGGAGCAGAGTGATAAGAATCAGAGCAGGGTGATAGAGGGGACGGGGAGGGGAGGGCAGAGGTGATCAACATTGTAGAAGACAGGAGGGTGGAGAGAAAAAGAGAGGGAGCAGAGGGAGTTGGGGAAAGGAGAGGGGATGTGGTTAGAGCTTTGGGAAGGAAATGTGGAGGGCCCAGCCAGACTCTGAGAGTCCGTGTAGGCGCGGGACAGGTGTCACAGTTCATCTCCGCAAAGGTCGGGTGCATGGTGAGGAGGTGACGTGACTGAGAGACAGCACAGTGCCCGGAAGAGAGAAGGGTTTCAAGTCATTTTGGCAGGACACAGCGGCACGCACAGCCCGCCCAGACCTAGTCCCCTCGCTCTCCTCCACAGAGCCCCAGGGAGCAGCTGTGGGCTTCCCTGTGGCCGAGACCAGCCTTTGGCCTGGTGTGTACGTGTGTGTGTGCATATGTTTATATGAGTATGTATGTCAGTATGTGTATGAGCATGTGTAAATATATATGTGTATATCTGTGTACACATTGTGTGCACACATGTGTATGTGTATATGTGTGCATGTATGTGTCCACGTGTATGTGCATGTATGTGTACATATGTGTGTATGGATGTGTGCATATGAGCATGTGTCTGTGTCTGTATGCCCATGTGTATGTGCATGTATGTGTACATGTGTGTATGAATGTGTGCATATGAGCATGCGTATGTGTGTGTGCGTGTTTACGTGTATGTGTGCATATGAGCATGTGTATGTCTATGCAAGTGCGTATGTGTCCACGTGTGTATGTGTACATATGTGTATATGTGTGCATGAGCATGTCTGTGCATGTCTATATACATGTATATGAACGTGTGCATATAAGCAGGTGTATGTGTGTGCATGTGTGTTTATATGTGTATGTGTGCATATGAGCATTGTATATGTATGTGTGTGCATGTGTGTTTATATGTGCATATGAATGTGTGCATTGAGCGTGTATGTGCGTGTGTCTGTGCATGTGTTTATGTGTATATGAATGTGTGCATATGAGCGTGTGTGTATGTGTTTATATGTGTATATGTGTGCATATGAGCATTGTATATGTATGTGTGTGCATGTATGTGTGCATGTGTTTATATGTGCATATGAATGTGTGCATTGAGCGTGTGTGTATGTGCGTGTATGTGCATGTGTGTTTATATGTGTATATGAATGTGTGCATATGAGCGTGTGTTTGCATGTATGTCTATGCATGTGTGTTCATATATGTGTGTATGAATGTGTGCATATGAGCATGTGAATGTGTGTCCCTATGCACATGTGTATATGTTTGTATGTGTGTTTGTGGCATGTGGCTCTGGGGACACAGGGCTATAGGTGGTCCCATGACTCTTCTCCATCTCATCCCCGTGACAGCTGCCCCTACCAAGTCCTGTGCTCCCTCTTACCTCTTCCCTGGGATGACAGTGGTCACTTTCCCCATGTTTTGGATGGGGCCTGCTTGTCCCCAACGTCCTTTAGCACGAAGGGGACAGGTGTCCTATTCCTGTGAATGGCCGGTTACCTTCCAGGTGCGTTAGAGTGGCTCCTCTAACCAGCCCTGCAGGGATCTTATTAGATCTTATTAGAGTGGCTCCTCTAACCACCCCTGCAGGGGGGAAGTGAGGAGCCGCAGGGCTGTGGAGGGGTCCAGGTGTCACGGCCAGGACTTGTACCCGAGCCCGACACGGGCGGACCCAGGTGTGCGGGGATCCAGCCCAGGTGTGCCGGTGGCGGCCGCCCCCACGGAACCACCTGGCCCGCTCGGGGACCCAGGTGTGCTGAGAAGGGGGTACTGGCGTTGGCCCGGCGTGAAAGGTCACCCTGCACCCCCGCACCCAGGTGAGGCGGGCGCGGGATCCCGGTTGCCACAGGCATCGGAGCGGCCGGGAGCGGGGGCAGGGGGAGGCAATGAGAACTCCCGGGGAGGGGGCTCGCAGGGGCCGCATCGGACGCCTGGGCCGGCGGGGCAGAGGGAGGCGCCCTGCTCTCCGGTCCCTCCCTTTGCCTCCCTCCCGCCCCGGGCGCCGCCTGCGGGAGCCGACTCGTTCCAGGGGAGGCAGCGCCACCTGCTGGAGTGTGCGCGTCTGCGCACCGGGCCGGGTTCCGCAGGTCCTGGGGCTGCGCCCGAGACCCCCGACCGAGTCTTCGGCGCCTCCAGCGCTTCCCCGGCGTCTTGGGCTGCGAGGGGCCCTTTCCGCAGGGCGATGTTTTAGCAGTTCTGGGAGGAAGGGCCCACTGCCGTTGCCCTCTGAGGACCGAGGCCGAGAGCCTGGAGGGCGTGGAGAAGGGTCTGACCGCCGGCTCTGGTCCTCGGGCTCTTGGCGACAGCGACCTCCCTCCTCCTCCGGGCGATGGTGACGGGCGCTCTCAGAGTGGCGGCCACACTAGGCGCAGGGCCGTCTTCCAAGTGTGTGGTCCTCTCAGACCTATGGAGTTGGTGCTGTTCTGGCTCCCTCTTAAAGAGCGGGAAACTGAGACACAGAGAAGTCCCACCGCCGGGGGTCGGGGTGGGGAGGGCCTGGGATTGGAACCCAGGCATGCTGGCTTGTGTCACCTGTGGTTCTCTCTGCCTGAAGATTTTTTCACCTGCCTAACTCATGAGCTGCTACTTACCCTTTGGGTAGCATTAGATGTCGCCTCCTCCAGGAAGCCCTCCCTCCCCCTCCATGTGAGGGTGGGCGCTCCTGCTATATGTGGGCCTACCGGCCCTCTGCGGGCTGGATCATCACAGTCTGTTCACTTGTCTGCCTCCTACCCCTTGACGTGGGCTCCCAAGGATCATTTGTGTCTGTCTTGTTCACCTGCCCTTTGTAGTGAACCAAACCTTTAAGTGCACATTTTAAAATTGATTTCCAAGGGGGCTGAGAGCTATGGAGGAAGAGCCAGGTCAGAGAGTCATCAGAAGCCCATATTTTACAGGATGTGGCTGGGGGCCCCTCTGGGGTGCCCCTCCAAGGAAGATGCTGAGCTGGACCTGGAGCACCGTGGAGGCAGGACCATGTCTGCCATGCTCAGAGATGGGTGCCAGGGGCGCTGGCTTGTCACTCAAGACTCCCCACTCCATCTGCCCTCCCCCACTCTCCCACTAACCAGGGGGGACCCACCTGCACCTCTGGTCACCACTCATGCTCCCTGGTGCTGGGCACCCCAGGGACAGGAAGAGGGCTGGGTGTTCCTGGCTCCTGCACTGCTTCCCAGGCCTGATCCCCATCTTTCTGCACCTGCCTCCCACCCATCAGCTTCCGCTAGACTGGAAGCCTCCAGAGGGCAGGTGCTGCCCCTCTTTCCCTTGTGCCTGGATTCCGTTGGCATCTAATCACAGACGAGGGACTGTGTCCCCTTCTCCACCTCCGTGGAAACTGTGTCTCACTCTCTATTCCAGGCCGAGCTGTCCATCCTCTGCTGGAAGCCTTGTGCCATCAGCCCTCACCTCCCCCTTCAAGCCTAGACATTCTCTCTCCTGGCGTAAATATGTTAACTCAAGGTTCTTTGCTCTAAAACCAAGGAGTTGTCTCCTCTCCCAGGTCCACCTCCTCTCTCTCGTGAACTCCCTGCCCCTCCACCTCATCCCTCCTCCATGACCTCCCCCTACTCACCATCTGCCCCTTCTGCCAACCCAGCGAGCTGCAGCTCTCCCTGGCATGTCACTCTCTAAACCTTCTGTCCCTTGGTTACGAGTGCAGTTCTCGCCTGGATTTCTTCCCGGCTCTTTGACTTCTCCCCAACCCTTCTTTTTCTGTTTTCCCCTTAAATGTGGACATCCCCACGTCCAGGACCTGGTCTCTGGCCCTTCTCCTCTGATTCATCTCAGTGGCGTTTCTCCCAAATCCCCGATTGCAGCCACAGCCACATGTCAATTAGGTCACCTCCATGTCCCGGCTAAGACGTGCCTCCTGGCCCCTGATGCGCCATCTCCCAGATGGAAATGCCATCATTGTATTTTTGCTCTGTCCCCACCAAAGGCAACACAAAGCATCTCCATCTGTTCCTTCATGTTCCCTACTCAGTGAATGACCGCTTATTTACCCACTGGCCCAGGCTCAGCTTGGATGTCCCCGGGCCGTCGTTTCCAGATCTCATCTTCAAATCCTGGCGATCTTCGCCCAGGAGCTGTGGACTCCTCTTCTCTGCCTGCCGCCCCTGCCCTGTCCAGCGTCCACCTCTCCCAAATGGCCCACTGGGTCCCTCCCTCCTGGCCCCCCTGCATCTAGGAGCAGCCCTCCTCCAACAGTTGGAAGGGTCTTCCCAAAACACAGATGAGACCTTGTCATCTTGAAACTCTTCATTGGCTCTGAATTGTCTTAGGATCAAGCCCAAACTCCTTCAGAGTCTGGGAAGGGGCCCCTCGTTCTGGGTCTGGCTCTGTCTCCCAGGGTCTCCCCCGCCTTGCCTGCTCTGTCTGGCCACACTGACAGTGCCCTGATGGGCCATGTCCTCTTCCCCTCAGCGCCTTTGCGTGTCCCAGCTTTCTGAGCCCAGACAGCCCTCTCCCCATTTTGGGGGGCCCACCTCACCTATCAGGGTGCAGCTTCTCCTCTGAGAAGACTTCTTTGCTCCCCAAGCCTGGATTTGATGCCATCTGCCTGTATTGACCTGGCTAAGCCAACACCCTAGCCCTAGGCTACCCTCAACCAACACCCCTGACCACACTGTGTGTGAATTACACCCCTGACCACACTGTGTGTGAATTACACCCCTGACCACACTGTGTGTGAATTACACCCCTGACCACACTGTGTATGAATTACACCCCTGACCACACTGTGTGTGAATTACACCCCTGACCACACTGTGTGTGAATTCCTCCTTTCCTTGTTTCTGTGCCCATTCAAGCTGTAAGCCCCTTTGGAAGAGACTGGGCCTTCACAATTATCATCTCAGCACCAAGCACAGAACCCACCTCAATAAATGGTTAATTTGAGACTTCTGTCTCTCTCTTTTTTTTTTTTTTTGAGACAGAGTTTCGCTCTTATCCCGCAGGCTGGAGTGCAATGGTACGGATCTCGGCTCACTGCAACCTCTGCCTCCCAGGTTCAAGCGATTCTTCTGCCTCAGCCCCCCAAGTAGCTGGGATTACAGGCATGCACCACCACGCCTGCCTAATTTTTTTTTTCTTTTTTGAGATGGACCTGACTCTGTCACCCAGGCTGGAGTGCAGCGGCGCAATCCTGGCTCACTGCAACCTCCACCTCCCGGGTTCAAGTGATTCTCCTGCCTCAGCCTCCCAAGTAGCTGGGATTACAGGCGCCCGCCACCACACCCAGCTAATTTTTGTATTTTTAGTAGAGATGGGGTTTCACCATGTTGGTCAGGCTGGTCTCAAACTCCTGACCTCACGTGATCCACCCGCCTCAGCCTTCCAAAGTGCTGGAATTACAGGCGTGAGCCACCACGCCCAGACGAGACTGCTCTCTTTTAATTTATATTTATTTATTTATTATTTTTAGAGTCAGGGCCTCACCACATTGCTCCGGCTGGAGTATGGTGGCTACTTACAGGTGCCAGCACAGCATACGGCAACCTCAAATGACTGGTCTCAAGCGATCCTACTGCCTCAGCCTCTCAAGTAGCTGAAACTAGAGATATCTTTATTCTTAATGTAAGTATTTAGTGCTATAAGTATCCCTCTCGGCTGGGCACAGTGGTTCACACAGGTAATCCCAGTACTTTAGGAGGCTGAAGCGGGAAGATCACTTGAGGCCAGGAGTTCAAGACTGAGCAACCTCAAAACCCTGTTTCTAGCAAAAAAAGAAAAAAAGCAAGCTAGGTGTGGGGGGCATGTTCCTGTAGTCCCAGTTCATCAGGAGGCTGAGGTGGGAGGATTGCTTGAGCCTGAGGAGTCGAGGCTGCAGTGGGCTGTGATCACACCACTACACTCCAGCCTGGGCAACAGAGCAAGACTCTGTCTCAAAAAAATAATAAAAAATAAAAATAAGAAAATTTCTTTCTCAGCATTGCCTCAGATGCATCCCACATATTTTGGTATGCTGTCCTTTAATTCTCATTCAGTTTTATAGATTTCTTAATTTTCTTTGAGACTTCCTCATTGACGTGGATATTTAGAGGTGTACTGTTCAATTTCCAAGTGTTTAGAGATTTTCCTGTAGTCTTTCTGTTACTGATTTTTTTTTTTTTTTTTTGAAACAGAGTCTCACTCTGTCACCCAGGCTGAAGTGCAGTGGCACCATCACAGCTCAACCCCACCCCCCATCAGCAGTCTTGGCCCCACAATCCCTAGGCTCAAGCAATTCTCGTGCTTCAGCCTCCCAAGTAGTTGGGACTACAGGCATGTGCCACCACACCCGGCTATTTTTTGTAACTTTAGTAGAGTCGGGGTTTCACCATGTTGGCCAGGCTGGTCTCAAACTCCTGACCTCAAGTCATCCACATCACTTCTGGCCTCCGTAGTTTCAGATGAGATAATTTGAACTGGTGTCCCTATAGGTAATGTGTTGTTTCTCTGGCTGTTCTGAGGAGATTTTTTGTCTTTAGTTTTCAGAAGTTTAATGATGATATCTCAGTGTAGATTTCTTTGGCTTCTTCTGTTTGAAGTTCAGTTTCCTGAATCTGTAAGCTTATGTCTTTTACCAGATTTGGAAAGTTTTCAGCCATTATTTCTTCAAATACTCCTTCAGCCTCACTCTCTTCTCCTCCTTAGCCCCTATGATGTGAGTGTCAGATTTGTTTGTTATGGTCCCATTGGATGTGGACGTTCTGTTTATTTCTTATCCGTCTATTTTCTCCCTGTGGTTCAGACTGGGTACTTTGGATTGATCTGTCCCCAGATTCACTGATTCTGTCGTCTGTCATTTCCACTCTACAACTGAGCCCATCAGGGAGTTTTTAAAATTTCTGCAATGACATTTTTCAGTTCTGTAATTTCCATTTGGTTCTTTCTAAATACCCACTATTTCTTTGCTGAGAATTTCTATATTTTCATTTGTTTCAAGAGAATTTGCAATTGCTTGTTGAATTTTTTATTTTTATGTGTTTTTTTTGATGGTTGCTTTAAAATCCTGGTCACATGGCTGGGCGCAGTGGCTCATGCCTGTAATTCCAGCACTTTGGGAGGCCGAGGAGGGTGGATCACTTGAGGTCAGCAGTTCGAGGCCAGCCTGGCTAACATAGTGAAAGCCTGTCTTTATTAAAAATACAAAAATTAGCCGGGTATG
This sequence comes from Homo sapiens, assembly GCF_000001405.40. NCBI lineage: Eukaryota > Metazoa > Chordata > Mammalia > Primates > Hominidae > Homo > Homo sapiens. The sequence goes on from NW_003315955.1 coordinate 43,198, forward strand.
ATGGCACATGCCTGTAATCCCAGCTACTCAGGAGGCTGAGGCAGGAGAATCGCTTGAACTCAGGAAGCAGAGGTTGCAGTGAGCTGAGATCGCACCACTGCACTCCAGCCTGTGTGACAGAGTAAGACTGTCTCCAAAAAAAAAAAAAAAAGAGTAAAATCCTGGGCACGTAACTCCAACGTCTGATTCATCTCAGGGTTCAGTTGACGGTCTTCCCACTCACATTGTGATTTTCGTAGTTCTTGGTGGGATGAGTGAATTTCACCATATCCTGGACATTGTGGCTATTAGGTGAGGAGACTTCAGGTCCTGTTTGCATTTTTTACTTTGGTAGCAGCGGCCCTGCTTAGGTTTAGCACCCAGGTCTTGGGCTACTTTTGGGGGCTGTGGTTCCAATGAAAATCTGATTTGCAGAGCCTCTGCCGTGCTATAGAGGTCAGCTCGGCTTGTGTGGTGCTGCTTAAGGAGGCAGAAGGAGCTTTCCCAGGCTGGACATTCATTGCCTCCAGGTGGGAGAAGGGAGTCTCCCGCTCACAGGGACAGACAGGCCTTCTGCTTGTGGTGGGCTTTCTCCCTGCCATCAACGTCTCCCCCTCTCTCTGCTGTGCCATGATTTTGGGTGGGGGAGTGGAATTTCAGGTCCAGTGAGGAGGAAAGGGTTAACCCTGGCCAATAATTAGCAGGAGGGTGCTGGGCCAACCCCTTTGGTGGTTCTGCCTGGCTTGCTTGGTGGGTTTTTTGTTGTTCATTTTTTTTTTTTTTTTTTTGAGTTTGTCGCCCAGCCTGGAGTGCAATGGCGCAACCTTGGCTCATTGCAACCTCTGCCTCCCAGGTTCAAGCGATTCTCCTGCCTCAGCCTCCTGAGTAGCTGGGACCACAGGCACCCACCACCACGCCCGGCTAATTTTTGTATTTTTAGTAGAGGCGGGGTTTCACCATGTTGGCCAGGCTGGTCTCAAACTCCTGACTTCGGGTGATCCACCCGCCTCAGCCTCCCAAAGTGCTGGGATCACAGGTGTGAGCCACTGTGCCCAGCTTTTTTTTTTTTTTTTTTTACAGGTCTTACTCTGTTGCCCACGCTGGAGTACAGTGGTGCGATCATAACTCACTGCAGCCTTGATCTCCTGGGCTCAAGTGATCCTCCCACCTCAGCCTCCTGAGTAGCTGGGACTGTACGCAGCTGCCACTATGCCCGGCTAATTTTTAAGTTTTCTTTGTAGAGACAGGGTCTGCTGGGTTACCCAGGCTGGTATCAAATCCCTGGTCTCAAGAGATCCTCCTGTCTTGAAGCGCTGGGATTACAGCTGTGAGCAATCGGGCCCAGCCTTGCCTAGTGTGTTGGGGCGACTTGCCTTTAATCTAGGAGAGAAAGGAGCCTACTTGGCTGCCTTCTGTTGCTAGGTCGGGAGTTGGGAAATGCACGCCTGGGCGGGTCCTGTATTGGGTGGGGGTGAGGGGTGTCATAATGCCCTGTTGATAAATATTCCTGACCCAGCCTTGGGGTCCTTTACCAGCTCTCCTGCTCCTTCCACCTCAGGGCCCTCTTAGGGTTGCCTCTTACATTCTTTCCAGGGCTTAGCAGACAGGAACAGGGAGGGTCGGGTTTAGGCCATCTTACCCAGACCGGAAGTCTCTAAGTGTTTGATTGAGTGTTTGTTTGAAGAAAGTGATGAACCCAGGACCTCGAGCCAGGAAGATTTTTCCCGGTGAAAAGCAGAGGGATTGACTCACGCTCGGTTCTGAGTTCCAGGCCTGACTCCAGGGCTCACCAGCTTCTTCCACAACCCGCACAACTTGAACGCTTGGTAGCATCTCCACGCAGCAGTGGGCACCCTGGCTTCTGGAGGAGCCCAGGCTGCATTTACCCCTCCATGGTGCATCTCATAGGATCAACTGGACCCGCGAAAGGCACTGGCTGCGGAAAAGCAGCCAACTGCTCCCCAGCGAAGGGGATGGCCGGAAGCGAGGAGAGGGAGAAGCCCCAGCAGAGACCCCAGGAGGAAAAGACCCCACAACGGGGCCACTGGGAACCCATGATGTTGGTTACCAATGTGATTGGAGGTTCGGAACGACGGACGTGTGGCCCTGAAGTGGGAAACAGAAAAGCTGAAGGGCGAGACCTGGGAGGGAGCCCCCCACCCCCGCGGACTCCAGAGACCCAACCTTCCTTCCCTGCGCTCCGGCCGGACGTTCTCCCTGCCCCTGTGGCCGAGCCTGGTAAGTTCGCAGCAAACAGGAGTTTGGGGCTTTACAAGCCTCCAGAGGGGTCCATGGGCATTTGGGTAGATTGTTATACTGCCCCTGGCAGGAGGGCAAGGCCCTTCATGGGAGCCATAAGCTGGAGACCTAACAGAGCTCGCAGCTCGGCCACAGGGCTCTGTTCCAGGGGCATTGGCCACTGGCTTCCAGTACCTGTTCAGCCTCCCAGCTCCTTGTTGCCTGGAATCTCCACCACTGATCAGCGTGTAAACACCTATGTGGGGGACACGGGGGCAGGGGGGTCCAGGAAGGCAACTTTTGGGGGATAGGGTGGGAAGAAAGAGGGACCTCAGAGGCCAGTTCTTCCCCATCCTACTCTATTTCCTCCTGTAACCATGGGAAATGTCTTTCTGTGCCCGATCCTGTATGGGGTGCGGATGGGGCACACAGATGAATCAGACCCGGCCCCCTCTTTGTGCCAATTCATAAGCACTTCATCCACGGCTCAGCCCTGTGAAAGAGCTCCTCGGGCCCAGGAATGCAATACAGTGAGAACACTTTCCGGTCTTGCCTCCAGGTGACGATTCAGCACACAGGAAGGTGGCCCTGCCCAGGGCCAAGCTCTCTCTCAGTTGGCACCTGGCCAGGTGAGGGGGCTGCTCCCTGTCACAGAATAGGAAGCTGAGGCCCGTGGGGCCTCATAGGCACACAGCATGGGGCGGCAGACTGGGCCTCCTGACCGTCAGCGCTGTGAGGCCGATCTTCTTGCCCACTGCGGAGGCTCAGCCCCTCCCCTGCCCTCCAGGCCTGTCCTGCAACCACTCCACCTCTGCTGCTGGGGCCTGTGTGTGTCCCCCAGCTCCTCCTGCTGGGGCCTGTCTGTGGCTCCTGGAAGGTGTGACCCGGGTCACCTGTGGGCAGAGGCCTCACTCACACCCCCGGCCTCTCATGTTGCCATCCAGCTCTGTCCTGCTCTCCCTCCCCCAGTGGGGGTTTAAGCTCCTCGTGGGCTGCCTCCCCGACCCCGGCGCCCTCTGTCTCCACGGAAGCCTGTCATTTCCGAGGCCTGAGTCACCACTGGCTGGTTGCAGCCGGGTCAGCGTGCCACCCGGCACGAGGCACAGACATGAGCTACTGGGTCCTGCACCCTGTGGTTAGGAGCTCAGAGGCCTCTTTCTAGGGGACGTTGCCAGTGAATAAGTCTTTCAGGGCAGAGGCAGGGTGGAGAAGAACCACTCCTCTATTCCCTTACCCTCCCACACCAGGAATCGCTGGGCTCCCTGTGACCAGGGACTTTCCCAGATGCCTGGGATTTTGGATGAAGCTGGAAAGCAGAGAATGCCCATGTGCCTACTCAGTGCAGACAGGGTGCCCGACGTGCCTACTCAGTGCAGACACGGTGCCCGACGTGCCTACTCAGTGCAGACACGGTGCCCGACGTGCCTACTCAGTGCAGACAGGGTGCCCGACGTGCCTGCTCAGTGCAGACAGGGTGCCCGACGTGCCTGCTCAGTGCAGACAGGGTGCCCGACGTGCCTGCTCAGTGCAGACAGGGTGCCCGACGTGCCTGCTCAGTGCAGACAGGGTGCCCGACGTGTCTGCTCAGTGCAGACAGGGTGCCTGACGTGTCAATGTTGGACATCTCAAAAGGTGGCATACGGTCCCAGCAGAGAGCTGCAGTGGGGTTACGGGCACAGACCGGGAAGCATGCTGCTGCCAGGAACTGAATTTGGGCTCCCCTGCAGAGAAGCTGTGAGACCTCAAGCAGGGGACTTAAGCTCTCTGTGCTTCTGTTTCCTCATCTGTGAAATGGGTGCTAGAGGAACTGTGATGAGGTGTCAGTGAATCTGCAGCATAAAGCCCAGAGCCAAAGCCACTTGCAAACGAGGGCTCATATCAGAGGGGCTTGCTGGAGGCAAGTTTTGAGGAATAGAGATGGGACTGTGAAGGGACTCAAGCCAGGATAGGGGGCCCCCCGAGCACCCCTGGCAAAGGAGCCTCTGCTGGTGGTTTTCTGAACTCGAGTCCTGGCCCCAGGCAGAAGTGGGGAGCTTTCTTGGGAGGGCTTGGCCACCTCGGCTGGGGCTGGGTGCAGAGAGGCAGCAGCCCTGCCCCTGGAGCCTTCTGAAGGGTGGCTGGAGCTGCCTGGGCAGGTCACCCTCCACATTTCCAGCGTTTCCCAGGGAAGGGTGCTCGAAGTTGCCATGCAACACCAGGAGGGTAGGTTCAGGTGGGAGGCTCATGAAGGGCTCGCTGCCTGGATGGCACTGAACCACAAGGACCAGCAGCTGGGGTGGGTGGGGCTGCCTGGGGGAGGGGTGCCCTGGAGGATGTCCTTTGCAGGGGATGGGAGAGAGGAGGCATGTATGAGGGTGGAGGGGAGCAAGGAGGTAGAAGGGCTGATCCCTACTACTGCCCCCTGCAGCTTGCCATCAGATGTGAGACGGAAGTTTTGACTTAGACTGGTTTGGTTATTTTAATATGGGACAGCAAGCCTGGATTGGCCAAGATGAGATGGTTCATTTGCTGAAGCTAGATGAACAGCTTTGGGAACTGCCTAAGTTGTTAACCAAAGTGATGAAGGAGGCCCATAGGGTATGAGGGAAGGCCAGAATGGAATCCATCCCCATCACCTCCTCCATCCCCATCACCTCCCCACTTCCTTCATCCCCATCACCTCCTCCATCCCCATTACTTCCTCCATCCTCACCTCCTTCATCCCCATCACTTCCTCCATCCTCATCACCTCCCCATCTCCTTCATCCCCATCACCTCCTCCATTCCCATCATCTCCTCCATTTTATCACCTCCCCCATCCCCATCACCTCCTCCATCCTCATCACCTCCTCCATTCCCATCATCGCCTTCATTCTATCACCTCCTCCATTCCCATCACCTCCCCACCTCCTTCATCTCCATCACCTCCTCCCCATCTCCATCACCTCCTGTCACCTCCTCCATCCCATCATCTCCCCACCTCCTCCATCCCCATCACCTCCATCCTCATCATCTCCTCCATTCCCATCACCTCCTCCATTCTATCACCTCCTCCACCTCCACATCCTGAGCCACTTCCCCTCAGCTTCATTTCCTGAAACAGCCCCTCCTCACCCTCTCCAGCTTCCTTTCCTTCACCTTACCATGCTCCTTTCTGGAAGGCACCACTCCAAACCGTCTCCTTGGAAAAGCAACTTCAGCCCCAGTGCCTGTCCCTGCTACACCCAACGTTCCTGTCTGGAAAAGAGTTGCTCTTTATTCAGCACGTGAGTTCCTGACCCCCAGATAAGGGCCAGTGCAGCCGGGGAGGGAAGCATTAGTGCTGCCGGGTGGAAGGTGGACGGCGCCTGGATCCAGACCCAGCAGTGCTCATGGGGCCAGGCCTGGTGCTCGTTCTTTCTCAGTCCTTAACGCCACCTTGCAAGGTGGGGATTGTCCTCCCATCTGGCCATGAAGAGCTGAAGCAGAGAGGTGCAGTCGCTCATCTGCGCTCACTGGTCAGTGGGTCGCTGCGTCCCCAGAGGCCCCTGGGCAGGGTGGGCGCTGCGTCCCCAGAGGCCCCTGGGCAGGGTGGACGCCTCTGCAGGTGCCCGCACAGGGGCTTTCTCCTTCACTTGGCCACACTCAGCCTTTGATCTGAAACAATGAAAGCCCCTGAGTCACTGGTCCTTCCCGAGCCCGTGTGTGGCCCACAGCAAGGAGCTGCCTGTCCCAAGTTCGGGGGGTTTCTTTGGCTTACGCGGATACTGTATGTGAGTGTTGGCAGAGCAGCGTGAGCCTCGGCCTGCAAACTCAGGACGGCACCAAGCCCCATCGCCTTGGTATCTTCCAGGTGGACCCTCAGCCTGCTGAGTGGACAGGAAACCATCTGTCATTTAGGGTTCCTGCTCCCAACTCCCCCCAACAGCTGTCACCACCACCGTGGTTGTGCAAAGGTCCCAGGCCTTTCAGAGTGGGCCCTGATCACTGTCCATCCTGGCCGGGTCTGCTGAAACAAACATGGTCACAATCTCGTGGTACTTTCTGCCTCGTGGCTCTGTGTCCACACTGGAGAGACTAGGACCCAATCCTGGGGCCCCTCCCACAGGCGCCATATGGCTATTCCCCTCAGAGACGCACCAGGCCAGCCCCACTGCCCTCAGGACCAACCTCCAACTTCTCCTCGGCTTGGGATCTCCGGTTTCTCTCTTTGTCAAGGCACCCTGATATGGTTCGGCTCTGTTCCCACCCAAATCTCATCTCGATTTGTATCCCCACGTGTCAAGGGAGGGACCTGTAATCCCCATGTGTCGAGGGAGGGAGGTGATTGGATTATGGGGGCGGTTCCCCCATGCTGTTCTCAGGACGGTGAGTGAGTGAGTTCTCACGACATCTGGTGGTTTTATAAGTGTTTGGCAAGTTCCTTCGCTCACTCTTCTCTCTCCTGCCACCTTGTGAAGGAGGTATTTGCTTCCCCTTCACCTTCCGCCATGACTGTAAGTTTCCTGAGGCCTTCCCAGCCATGCAAAACTGTGAGTCAATTAAACCTCTTTCCCGGCCGGGCGTGATGGCTCATGCCTGTAATCCCAGCACTTTGGGAGGCCGAGGCAGGTGGATCACTTGAGGTCAGGAGTTCGAGACCAGCCTGGCCAACATAGAAACCCCATCTCTACTAAAAATACAAAAAATTAGCTGAGTGTGGTGGCGGGCGCCTGTAATTCCAGCTACTCAGGAGGCTGAGGCAGGAGAATCACTGGAACCCAGAAGACGGAGGTTGCGGTGAGCCAAGATCATGCCATTGCACTCCAGCCTGGGCAACAAGAGGGAAACTCCATCTCAAAATAAATAAATAAATAAAAATAAAAACAAAAGACCCCTTTCCATTATAAATTACCCAGTCTCAGGGAATTTCTTTATAGCAGCATGAGAATGGACTAAGATACACCCCTCCTTCATCCGCCATGTGCAGCCGGCGAGCACAGCTCTTCTGAAGAGACAGGAGGTACCCACGTCTCACATCAGCTTCTGCCCTGTGCCCTGCACAAAATCCCTGACATCTTAGAATACGGCCTGGGAAAATATGGAGGGTATGAATAAATCAGAATCTTGAGAATCATCCCCGTGCAGGGGCCTTCTGCAGCCAGGTGGCCCCTGGGGGCTATGGGTGTCCCCTGGAGGGAGCAAGGGAATGGTCTGCCTTGGGGACAGTAAGGCAGTGCAGTTATGGGACTGCCAAGGTTGGTCTCTTCTAGGGCTCTTCGGCCTCTGGTGGGTTCCCGTGTTTGTAGGGGCTGCTCAGAGGGACCATAGCTGGGGTAGAGCGAGATGCCCCAGGAACAATGATCTCCAGCTGTCGCAGCTGTTAAATGGACATTTATGAAAACAAACCATCAGCGCCATCAGGAGCCAGGATTGTCCCTTCTTTCTATTCTGCAGGAGCGTGCATCACCTGTGAGCTTTGGATCACCGAGACTGTGGGTCCTGACCCATTATTCATGCATTTGTAGAATTTCCTGGGGGCCACAGAAACTGGCCTGAGGACCATACTTGCCAATCCTCAGTGCCCAGAGAACGAGGTGAACAAGTAATCCTGCTCCTTTTATCTTTTTGAGACGGAATCTCGCTCTATCACCCAGGCTGGAGTGTGGTAGCATGGTCTCACCACAACCTCCGCCTCCCAGGTTCAAGTGATTCTCCTGCCTCAGCCTCCCGAGTAGCTGGTACTACAGGCTCCCGCCACCACACCCAGCAAATTTTTGAATTTTTAGTAGAGATGGGGTTTCACCGTGTTGGCCAGGCTGGTCTGGAAGTCCTGACCTCAAGTAATCTGCCTGCCTCGGCCTCCCAAAGTGCTGGGATTACAGGTGTGAGCCACTGCACCCGGCCTGTTTCATCTATATTGTTCTTTACCACACTCTCGGTGACATCAGCCAACTAACTTATTCTCTCTTCAATGTATCCAGCCAACTACATTCTGTCTGTTGGCTTCTTAATTTCAATAATTACACCTTTTGCACACAGACCACAACAGGGTGAAAAATGTAATATATAAATACTAAAATGTAAAGCTTTTTTTTTTTTTTTTTTTTTGAGACAGGGTCTCACTCTGTCACCCAGGCTGAAGTGCAGTGGTACAATCATAGCTCACTACAACCTCAAACTTCTGGGATCCAATGATTCTCCTGCCTCAGCCTCCCAAGTAGCTGAGACTACAGGTATGCATCAACCACACCCAGCTAATTTTAAATTTTTTTTTGTAGAGATGAGGTCTCACTTTGTCACCCAGGCTGATCTCAAACTCCTGGGCTCAAGCAATCTGCCCACCTTGGCCTCCCAAAGTGCTGGGAATACAGGTGTAAGCCACCATGCCTGGCCCATGAAAAACATTTTTTAAAAAGAGAATATAAAAAAATTTTAGAAGGAAGAAAAAACTAAAATAAATAAAAATCATACCTTTAACTTCCAGGATTTCTCACTGATTATTTTTCGTGACCACCTGTTCTTATTTAAGCCAGTTTTTTTTGTTTTTTTTGTGTTTTTTTTTAGACAGAGTGTCACTCTGTCACCCAGGCTGGAGTGCGGTGGCGTGATCTCGGCTCACTGCAACCTCTGCCTCCCAGGTTCCAGCAGTTCTCCTGCCTCAGCCTCCTGAGTAGCTGGGACTACAGGTGAGCGCCACCGCACCTAGCTAATTTTTTATATTTTTAGTAAAGACGGGGTTTGCACCATATTGACCGGGCTGGTCTCGAACTCCTGACCTCGTGATTTGCCTGCCTGGGCCTCCCAAAATGCTGGGATTATAGGCATGAGCCACTGCGCCTGGCCTTAAGCCAGTTTTGGTTTTACAACTTCTTGTTTTCTTTGATGATCCTAAACATTTTAATTTGAAATCATTTTCAGATTCTTCCGTTATTTCCATTTCACCTGCAATGATTTAAGGGTTGATTTTTCTTAATTGTCTTTATTAGCAGCAGCTTTGCCATGTGGTTGGGGTGAGGTGTGTAGGTTTGTCTTGGGTAAATGCCTCTCTCATTTCAGTCAATCTCTGTCTCTCTTTCTTCCTCTTCCTCTTCCTCTCTCTTTCTCCTCTTTTTTGCTCTCTCTCCCCGCACCTTCTCTCCCCCACTCTCTCCCCCAAATGGTGAGGTCGTGTGTTGTTGGCTCAGAGTTCCCACCTCCCGGGGGCTACTGGGGATTTTGCTGTCCGGGTGCTGAGTCCCTGGGTGCCAGGGCTCTGAGGCCATGGCTGCTTTCTCCCCTCTCCAGGTACACAGCTGGGAAGCCCTGTCCCCACCCCTATGAGTGGCTCCAGTGCCCTGCCTCATTTTTAGTATCTGTTACATGGAGATGGTTATCTTACTTTTTAAAAAATTATGGCTATATCTTTTAATTTTTTCTTTTTAAAGTTTATCTGTCTTTGCTATACGGGATGACTTGAAAAATGAACTTAAAATGCCATCTTTTTAATGCTTTAAATATTTTCTTTTATTGTGAGCCCATTAAAATAGAAAAGCAGTGTAAATTTTTAGTTTTTTGGAATGTAATGGGTTTGGAGGTTAATTTTTAAAAATAAGGCCTCATCAAACCAACTCAAATGTGAGTTCAGCTGAGTGTTTTTTTTCCCCACAGTGGGGAGGCCCTGCCAGCTTCATGCAGGCCACAAATAATAAATTACTGTTCCCGGCCGGGCGCGGTGGCTCACGCCTGTAATCCCAGCACTTTGGGAGGCCGAGGCGGATGGATCACCTGAGGTCAGGAGTTCGAGAGCAGCCTGTCCAATATGGTGAAACCCCGTCTCTACTAAAAATACAAAAAATTAGCCAGGCGTGGTGGTGTGCACCTGTAGTCCCAGCTACTCGGGAGGCTGAGGCAGGAGAATTGCTTGAACCCAGGAGGCGGAAGTTGCAGTGAGCCAAGATTGCGCCACTGCACTCCAGCCTGGGTGACAGGGCAACACTCTGTCTAAAAAAAAAAACAAAAAACTGTTCCTATTTAAAAGTTGGAGGTAATAAAATTTCCCTGCAAGATAAATGCTATCAGTTTCTCTCTATTGGAAGCCTGCTTGCTAATTGAAGTTAATTGCTAATTTTTGATAAACTATTTTGTTGAATTATAACATCGACATAGAAAAATGCACACATTGTAAGTGTGCAACATGATGAACGTTCACATGTGGACATATCCATGTAGCGTCTGCTCAAAAATCTCGAACAACTCGGGCGTGGGGCGGGGGTCATTAACTCCACTTCATGGGTAATGAAACAAAATATCAGATAAGTCACGTGACTTTTTCTCCCCAAGGTTCTCAGCTAGGAAGAGACATGCAGCCTGGGCACAGTGGCTCACGCCTGTAATCCCAGCACTTTAGGAGGCTGAGGCAGGCGGATCACCTGAGGTTGGGAGTTCAAGACCAGCCTGACCAACATGGAGAAAGCCCATCTCTACTAAAAAAAAAAAATACAAAAATTAGCCAGGCGTGGTGGCGCAGGCCTGTAATCCTAGCTACTTGTGAGGCTGAGGCAGGAGAATCGCTTGAACGTGGGAGGTGGAGGTTGCATTGAACCGAAATCACGCCATTGCACTCCAGCCTGGGCAACAAGAGCGAAACGCGAAACTCCATCTCAAAAAAAAAAAAAAAAAAAAAAAAAAAAAAAAAAAAAAAGGAAGAGACATGCAGGGAGGGTCACAGGCCAGATCTGCAGCCCCACATTCAAGAAGTGGCTCTGAGCCCCTGCTGCAGCCAGGGGAGGGGCTGAGAAGGTGGGAAGTGCCAGCTGAGGGCAACTGAGCACAAAACACTGAAGTCAGTCAGATGGGCCCAGGAGGGATGAGGGGGCAGGGCTTGTGGGGGATGCCAGGGCTGGAGAGTGCCTGTGGCTGGTCTGACCCTGACCCTGGGGTTGGAACAGTCATCTTAGCTCCCCAGGCTTTGGAATTGGGATTTTGAGATCCTGTATCTCTTTTTTTTTTTCAAAACTAGAGGGCTTTGATGGGGTCATTCAGTTTTTATGTGACCAAAAAGACATGTATTTCTAAAGACACACACTACTTGCTACTGCCATGTTTTATTTCCTTATTTACAAAAATTTTCGGCCGGGCGCAGTGGCTCATCTCTGTAATCCCAGCACTTTGGGAGGCCGAGGCAGGTGGATCGCCTGAGGTCAGGAGTTTGAGACCAGCCTGGCCAACATGGAAAATACAAAAAAAAAAAAATTAGCTGGACATGGTGGTGCATGCCTGTAATCCCAGCTGCTTGGGAGGCTGAGGCAGGATAATCACTTGAACCTGGGAGGCGGAGGTTGCAGTGAGCCGAGATCGCGCCATTGCACTCCAGCCTGGGCGACAAGAGTGAAACTCCTTCTCAAAAAAAAATTCAGGCCAGGTGCGGTGGCTTATGCCTGTAATCCCAGTACTTTGGGAGGCTGAGGCAGGAAGATTGCTTGAGGCCAGGAGTTGGAGACCAGCCTGGGCAACATAACAAGACCTCATCTTTACTAAAAAAGTAAATAAATAAAATTAGTCAGGTGTGTTGGTACACACCTGTAGTGCCAACTACTCGGGAGGTTGAGGTGGGAGGATTGCTTGAACCCAGGAGGTCACGGCTGTAGTGAGCCACGATGGCACTGCTGTACTCCAGCCTGGGTGACAGAGTGAGACCCTGTCTCAAAAAACAACAAAAAAATTTTCAGTGGCCAGTTACTAGATAGCATTGTTTTATTTTTTGAGGACACTCTCTCTCTCTCTCTCTCTCTCTCTCTCACACACACACACACACACACACAAAGGAAAGAAAAAAAAGAATGAAGACCAGTCCTTTGAACACCTTCAGCTTTACAAAACAACCTCTTTGCGTTGTCTTCTTTTATCTCCTTTTGCCTTGGACAGGTGAGAACTTGTCACAGGCTGGCCTCGGCCCTCAGCCTGGTGTCTGGGAGCCCTGAATGGCTGGGAGCGGGGGAGGGGTCAGCAGTGATCTCTTTTAGGGCTAATTGTGTAGGTCGGGGTGGCGGGAGGTATGGGGGTGGTGGTGGTGAAGCCTCTGGGTTTCCAGACTTAGGAAGTAAAACTACAGGCTACGCAGTTACACCTGAATTTCAGATAAACAATCATTTCTTTTAGTGTAAATATGTCCCAAATATTTTATACTAACAGAAATTATTTGCCGCTTATCTGAAATTCAAGTGTAACTGGGCGGCCTGTATTTTATCAGGCAGTCCTCGCCAAAAGACACTTTCAAGGAGATTTGGGACTGAGCAGAGTGTGCTAAGGAGACCTGAGATGATGCCTGTGGGCGCCGAGTGGCCGAGTGACTCTCGTCTCCTGACTCTGCTCCCTGCGACCCGAGCCACCTGCAGCTGCAGCCCCTGTGGGCCTGGAGCCCGTTTCGCAACACCCCCACCAGCGCCGCTTGGCAGGGGTATTTATTTATGTTTTTAATGAAAGCAAATTAAGATTCACTTACTCTTGAGAGCTGTGCTACGATTGCCCTTGTGATAAGTGGAGACACCTGGCTTTTCTCTACCTGGCCGGTTGCCTACGAGAGAGGCCTGCGTGGGGTTCAGTTTCCCAGGCTGGTCCCGCAGTGGCTTTTCAATCCGTCATCAAATCTTCATCAGGCGTCTCTGCACACAGCACTGAGGGAAGCACTGGCGTCCAGGCTATAGTCAGGCTCCCTGCCCTCCATCACTCACCATCTACCTGGGGGTGCAGTAGCGCCCCAGGAAGAGTGAAACAATAGGTATATTATCCCCAACCCCACCCATGGCACGGGCATTGCTGTCCCCCACAGAGCAGATAAGAAAACTGGGGCTCAGATGTTGAAGGACCGTGTTGAAGAGCACAGAGCTGGTTTGTAGCAGAAGTGGAATTTCCACCTTGATCTCTGGGTTCCCTCTACCAGACCCATGGTTCTCAGCCCAGGGAGCACTGAAAAAAGCTCCAGGCCCAGATATTCTGATTTAATTGTTCTGGGGTGGGTACTTTTTAAAGTTCCTGAAGATTCCAGTGTGCAGAGAGACCTGGGCCTCCCCCCACCATTGAGACAAGTGCCTGCTCCGGCTGTTCAGAGGAGGCAGCCCCACAGCAGGAGAAGCCCCTCTCCACTGAGGACAGATCAGAGTCCGCAGAAAGAACATGCCGGGGACTGGATGGCTTGAGCAGCGCTGAGTGGGAATGCACGAGGGACACTAGGGCAGTGACTGGCCCCTCCTGCAGGTCCGGAGGGCTCATGAGGCGAGTAAGAGGGAAAGCTGAGATTAAGTGAGATTCTAGGCTGGGCGTGGTGGCTCACACCTGTAATCCCAGAACTTTGGGAGGCCGAGGTGGGCAGATCACCTGAGGTCAGGAGTTCGAGACCAGCCTGGCCAACATGGTGGAACCCCATCTCTACAAAAAATACAAAAATTAGCCGGGCGTGGCGGCGCACGCCTGTAGTCCCAGCTACTCAGGCGGCTGAGGCAGGAGAATTGCTTGAACCCAGGAGGCAGAGGTTGCAGTGAGCTGAGATCATGCCACTGCACTCCAGCCTGGGCAACAAGAGCAAAACTCCATCTCAGAAAAAAAAAAAAAAAAGGATGAGATTCTAGATGGAAGCTAAAGGATGAGATTCTAGATGGAAGCTGGAGGATGAGATTCTAGATGGAAGCTAAAGGATGAGATTCTAGATGGGAGCTAGAGGGAAGCTAAAGGATGAGATTCTAGATGGGAGCTAGATGGGAGCTTGCCTCAGGCTTTTCTGTTGATGTTTCTCAGGGATCCTCTCTTCCCCTGGAGCAAAAGGCACAGATGAAGTGTCAGGGAGGACGCCAGTCCCATATCTTCTTCTCACCCTGGAGTGGCAGTTTCCTCACAGAAAGCCCATCCTGGCTCCTCCCCCTGCAAGGAGGGATGTGGAGGGACAGAGGAGCAGCAGGCAAGGCCAGCAGGAGGTGACATAGGCAGGGAGGACCAGGCCAAGGTTGGGAGGAGTCTACATTTGGCGCTGGGGTTGGACACCTGGCTGACCTCTAGTGTGTGGCCTTGCGGTGGCTGATGGATGCCCCTCCACCCCCATCCCACAGTGCCTATGTTCCCCAAAGGGTGTCCCGTGGAACTGGCAAGGTGCCTTGTGATGAAAAGGTTCTGGGGTCAATACATTTGGGAAATGCTGCATGCTGTAGCCCTTATGGACACCCACAGCCCCCACGAGCCTCCTACAGGCTCTGAGAAGTCCAGCAATGAAGAGAAGCCTGTGAAGGTTTGTTTCACGTTCAACTGTTGCCACTTTGTGACCTCAGAGCCCTCTTTTCTGTGTGACATTGACACCTATGCACATGACGGAGGGCACCCTGCAGCAGGCAGGCGCAACGCAAGGGGCGCGGCTGCACCAGGCTCCCCCCGTGGAGTGATTCGCTAAAGAAGGTGGGAAGTGGGGGTGTCTCTAGCATCTGTGGTCCCCAAGTTAATGAGGAGGAGCCATGCCCTGCTCAGGCTGCTGGTGAGGGAGGGAAGTGCCTTCTCTGAGGATGCGCTTGTGATGAATCCAGGAAGGGGGCGCTCTTCGGGGGAGCCCAGCAGCTGTCAGAAGCCTGGTGTGGAGGACCAGGAGCGCCTGAACCTCAGGGCTTGAGGCTGCGCCCTGGCTCGCCTGGTCTGGGGGGAAGCTCAGGCCTCTGTGGGCCTCAGTTACTGACAGACCCAGAACCCTGCCTCGTGGGGAGGGAATCAGTGTGTGTGAGCTGCGTGATCTCAGACTCTGCATCATATATTCTATAGAATGCAGGCGTACATGGAAACCGCACATCAGGAGCGGATGGCGAAAGACTGCTTGAAAATTGGCTGCAGACCAAACCACCTAAATCCAGAAACAAACCGAAACTTGCTTTAGGTCCTAATAACAGTGAGTTTACTTGTAAAAGCTTTCATTAATTTAAGATAAAACAAAAGACCCTTTAAAGTATAATAACACTGGTTGGGCACAGTGGCTCACGCCTGTAATCGCAGCACTTTGGAAGGCCGAGGCAGGTGGATCATCTGAGGTCAGGAGTTCGAGACCACCCTGACCAACATGTTGAAACCCCGTCTCTTTTTTTTTTTTTTTTTTTTTTTTGAGATGGAGTTTTTGCTCTGTTGCCCATGCTGGAGTGCGATGGCACAATCTCGGCTCACTGTAACCTCCACCTCCCGGGTTCAAGTGATCCTTCTGCCTCAGCCTCCTAAGTAGCTGAGATTACAGGTGCCCACCACCACGCCCAGCTAATTTTGTTTTTGTTTTTGTTTTGAGAGACGCTCACTGTGTCGCCCAGGCTAGAGTGCAAAGGTGCGATCTTGGCTTATTGCAACCTCTGCCTCCTGGGTTCAAGCGATTCTCCTGCCTCAGCCTCCTGAGTAGCTGGAATTACAGGCACGTGCCACCAGGCCTGGCTAATTTTTGTATTTTTAGTAGAGACGGGGTTTCACCATGTTGGTCAGGCTGGTCTCGAACTCCTGACCTCGCAATCCACACGACTTGGCCTCCCAAAGTGCTGGGATTACAGGCATGAGCTACTGCACCCGGCTAATTTTTGTATTTTTAGTAGGGATGAGGTTTCACCATGTTGGCCAGGCTGGTCTCAACCTCTTGACCTCAAGTGATCCACCCGCCTTGGCCTCCCAAAGTGCTAGGATTACAGGCGTGAGCCACCATGCCTGGCCTGAAACCCCCTCTCTACTAAAAATACAAAATTAGCCAGGTGTGGTGGTGCATGCCTGTAATCCCAGCTACTTGGGAGACTGAGGCAGGAGAATTACTTGAACCCGATATATATAGTGTATGTATATAATAACACTGAGATAGGCACAGTGGCTCATGCCTGTAATCCCAGCACTTTGGGAGGCCAAAGTGGGAGGATGGCTTGAGCCCAGAAGTTTCAGACCAGCCTGGGCAATAGAGTGAGACACCATCTCTACAGAAAATTTGCAAATTACCCAGATGTGGTGGTGGGCACCTATAGTCCCAGCTATTCATGAGGCTGAGGCCGGAGGATCACTTAAGCCCAGGAGGTTGAGGCTGAAGTGAGCTATAATCATACTGCTGTACTCCAGCCTGGGAGACACAGCAAGACCCTGTCTAAAAAAATAAATAAATAAAATAATATACTAACATTGATTTCAAAAAATGTGTCCATGGATAAAAATATAATGAATATATTCATCACACATGGATATGTTCCTGGACATATCAGTATATATCATGTATATCTTTTTTTCCAAAATGTGAAAGTAAGTTTATTATAGAAAATATGGAAAACAGAGAAAAATACAATGAAGAAAATAAGTCACATTTGGTGTATTGCCTTCCTGTATTTTTATGTTTTACATTTATTATGTTTTACATTTATTATGTTTTATGTTTCTGTTTTCTACAAGAACAAAATCCGGCCAGGCACAGTGGCTCACGCCTGTAATCCCAGCACTTTGGGAGGCCAAGGTAGGTAGGTCACTTGAAGTCAAGAGTTTGAGACCAGCCTGGCCAACATGGTGAAACCCCGCCTCTACTAAAAGTACCAAAATTAGCCGGGCCTGGTGGCACGTGCCTGTAATTCCAGCCACTTGGGAGGCTGAGGCAGGAGAATCACTCAAACCCAAGAGGTGGAGTTTGCAGCGAGTTGAAATCATGCTACTGCACTCCAACCTGGGAGACAGGGTGAAACTGCGTCTCAAAATAAATAAATAAAGTAAAATCTTTATTTACATATAGTACCTGTTGCCTTCATTTTAAAAATGTTTTATTTTATTTTATTAGAGATGGAGTCTTGCTCTGTTGCCTGGGCTGGAGCGCAGTGGTGCGATCTCAGCTCACTGCAAACTCTGCCTCCTGGATTCAAGCAATCCTTTAGCCTCAGCCTCCAGAGAAGCTGGGATTACAGGTCCGTGCCACCATGCCCGACTAATTTTTGTATATTTTTGTAGAGACGTGGTTTGACCATGTGGGCCAGGGTGGTCTTGAACTCCTGACGTCAGGCAATCTGCCTGCCGCAGCCTCCCAAAGTGCTGGGATTATAGGTGTGAGCCACCGCGCCCGGCCTTAAAAAAGTAATTTATTAAAGTGAAATTCACATAACACAAAATGAACCATTTGAAAATGAACAACTCAGGGGCCTTTAGTTCATTCAGTGTTGTGCTACCACCATCTCTACCTGTTCCGAGATGGTTCCTCTGGTTTTCATTGACACTTGTCACAGTTGAGCACACTCTCCCACCCAGTCAGAGAACTTTTATTTATTTAACTCTCAACCTAGTATTGAAGACTTGCTTGTTTTCAATTTCTTGGTCTTGTAAATGGGGCTCCTACAGACACCCTTGTGCATACCTTTGGTCGGACTGTCTATTTCCTGACGGCAGGGCCCTGAGCAATCTCGTCCCACAGCTCAGTACCCCCCTCTACCTGGATGACTCACAGAGTTATATTTCCAGCAGAGACTCTGCCTCTGCACACCAACCCATATATCCCAGCGCCCACCTGGTAGTTCCCCTTGGATGCATTGAACACACAACACGACACGCCCAGAGCCAGCCCGTCCTCTCTCTGCAAGGTGCCACCTGCCATCCTGCTGCTCCCGCCGGAATCCTGAGAGTCATCCCTGGCGATTCGCGCCCCAGCTCAGCCTCCAGATGCAGCCCAACCCCAGTTCTGGGTGATTTTATCTTTGGAATTTTGCTCAAATACATTCCCATCTCTCCCTTTCCCCAACCTAGGTCCAAGCCAGCATTTCCTCTTGCCTGAAGCACAACCTAGACTCCTAACCGGACTCTGGTCCGTCCGGTCACTCCACATCTCACTGAGAACCAAGATTGCAAAATGCAGATTAGATCGCCTAGCCCTGCTTCCCTCTCAGAACTTTCTCTGACTTCCTACTCCTCTTAATATAAAAATCCAATTCCTTAATGTGTCTACAAGGCCTGGTTCCTCCACTATGTCTCCAGACTCTCTGGGCTCTGACCTCCAGGGCCCTCTTCCCATTCCTTGTGTGGACCACACTCCTTGCAGCCACAGGACCTTTGCACAGGCCATTCTCCGCCAGCACCCTCAGCCCTCTGTTTTTCCTGGTTAATCCTTGCTCATCATCCCATCTCAACCTGGTCTTCCCTGCCCTCCACCATGGGAGAGTCCCTGCTCTCTCCTTGCACCTACTTACCCTTTACCGCTGTTGTCATTTTATTTGGATTATATGATTATTTGATCAACATCTGTTCTCCCTACCAACGTATAAGCACTCCATACCGCTCTTGTTATTTATTTATTTATTGAGACAGAGTTTCCCTCTGTCGTCCAGGATAGAGTGCGGCGGCGTGATCTCCACTCCCTGCAACCTCCGCCTCCGGGGTTCAAGGGATTCTCCTGTCTCCACCTCCCAAGTAGCTGGGATTACAGGCCCCCGACACCACGCCTAGCTAATTTTTCTATTTTTTAGTAGAGATGGGGTTTCACCAGTTGGCCAGGCTAGTCTTGAATTCCTGATCTCAGCTCTTGTCATTTTATTTGGATTTATTCTAAGATTATTTGATCAACATCTGTTTTCCCTATCAAAATATAAGCACCCCATCCTGGGGCCCATAATGAGTAATCAAGAAATATATGTTGAGGCCGGGCGTGGTGGCTCATGGCTGTAATCCCAACACTTTGGGAGGTCGAGGTGGGTGGATCACTTGAGGTCAGGAGTTCAAGACCAGCCTGGCCAACATGGTGAAACCCCATCTCTATTAAAAATACCAAAAAATGAGCCGGGTGTGGTGGCGGGCGCCTGTAGTCCCAGGTACTAGGGAGGCTGAGGCATGAGAATTGCTTGAACCTGGGAGGGGGAGGTTGCAGTGAGCCGAGATGGCGCCACTGCACTCCAGCCTGGGTGATAGAGTGAGATTCTTGTCTCAAAAAAAAAAAAAAAAAAAGAAAAAGAAATATATGTTGAATCAGTAAATGAAAAAGCAATGTAATTACCAGGACAAAGCACATGGGCATTTGGAAAGCTCTGGAGGATATTTCCAGAGTGCTTTCCGGAAGGGTGGTAGCACGGAACACTTGCACCAGGCATATGGGAGGGTCTGCGTAGCCACGCCTTCACCATAAATTTCACACATGTAGCAAAGCTTCAGTCATCTAACAAGTGCAAGCCCCCGGGCCAGCCATAAAGTGAGAGTACAGTCAGCAGCAGACGCTGAGCCAAGCAGGCAGAGAGCAGCTGACTGAGTCAAAGATGAAAAGGTGGCCACAGACCTGGCGTGTCTGGGCCCCTCTGGAGCCAGAAGACAGGAACCATCTCCCTGGTTGCCTGTTAAAGCCACGTCTAATCATTCAGGCCTGGAAGTCTGGGGAAGCGGCAGAGGAAAGGACTGGAAAGAAGTTGACAGAAGAGGCTGAGCATGGTGGCTCACACCTGTAATCCCAGCATTTTGGGAGGCTGAGGTGAGCAGATCACAAGGTCAGGAGTTCAAGACCAGCCTGGCCAATATCGTGAAACCCCCTGTCTACTAAAAAAAAAACAAAAAACACAAAAATTAGCTGGGCGTGGTGGCACGCACCTGTAGTCCCAGCTACTCGGGAGGCTGAGGCAGAAGAATTGCTTGAACCTGGGAGGCAGAGGTTGCAGTGAGTTGAGATCATGCCACTGCACTCCAGCCTGGGCGACAGAGTGAGACTCTGTCTCAAAAAAAAAAAAATGTTGACAGAAGAGAAGAAAAGGCAGGCGGAGGTGGCAGAGCTCAGAGACAGAGGCAGGTGTCAGAGGCAGTGGCGGGCTCAGGAGGTCTCACATCTGCTGCCAGTGTGAGAAGGTCTGCTCTGGGGACCGTCTGGGGCTCATCGGCTCACACTTCTGGCACTGGGGCTGGGAAGATTTGAAGATCAGGACTGCTGACCAGGGCACCTACGTGGGGCTTCCCCATGGTGTGTTGATCCTAAGATGACTGCAGTGATCCTTGTCTCCTGGTACTCACAGCCTCTGTAGCTCCTTTCTAAGCAACAGAATATACCTCTGTGCAACAATCAGGTTGCAAGAGATTCTCATTTTCCTCTTGGCAGCAGACTCCCTTCCTTATTGGCTTTGATAGGCCGAGTGGCTACGTTGGGAAGGCCCACACAGGAGGAGCCCATTTCTAGCTGGCTAAGAACTCAGGTGCTCTGTCTTTGAGCCACCTTTTTATTTTTATTTACTTTTATTTTATTTTTGAGATAGGGTCTTGCTCTGTCACTCAGGCTGAAGTGCAGTGGTACAATCACAGCTCACTGCAGCCTCAACCTCCTGGGCTGAAGCAATCTTCCCACCTCCGCCTCCTGGGTAGCTGGGACTACAGGCATGCATCGCTGTGCCTGGCTAACTTTAAATTTTGTGTAGAGACAGGGTCTCACTACGTTGCCCAGGCTAGTCTCAAACTTCTGAGCTCAAGCTATCCTCCTGCCTCAGCCTCCCAAAATGCTGGGATTACAGGTGTGAGCCACTATACCTGGCCCTTCAAGACTTAAAGAAATGAAATTCTGCACCAGGTATGGTGCCTCATGCCTGTAATCCCAGCACTTTGGGAGGCCGAGGCAGGCGGATCACATGAGGTCAGGAATTTGAGAGCAGGCTGGCCAACATGATGAAACCCCCTATCTACTAAAAACACAAAAATTAGCCAGGTCTGATGGCAGGTGCCTGTAGTCCCAGCTACTCGGGAGGCTGAGGCAGGAGAATTGCTTGAAGCTGGGAGGCAGAGGTTGCAGTGAGCTGAGATCACGCCACTGCACTCCAGCCTGGGCAACAAGAGTGAAACTCCGTCTCAAAACAAAACAACAACAAAAAACAAAACAAAACAAACAAAAAAACAAGGCCAGGCGCGGTGGCTCATGTCTGTAATCCCAGCACTTTGGGAGACCAAGGTGGGTGGATCACCTGAGGTCAGACGTTCCAGGCCAGCCTGGCCAATGTGGTGAATCTCCATCTCTACTAAAAATACAAAAAATTAGCCAGGCATGGTTGTGGGTGCCTGTAGTCTCAATTACTTGGGAGGCTGGGGCAGGAGAATTGTTTGAACCTGGGAGGCAGAGGTTGCAGTGAGCCAAGATTGCGCCATTGCACTCCAGCCTGAGCAACAAGAGCAAAACTCTGTCACACACACACACACACACACACACACACACACAAAACAAACAAACAAAAAAGAAATGAAATTCTGCCAAGTACTGCATGAGCTTGGAAGCAGATCTTTCCCCAGCTGAGCCTTCAGATGAAACCCCAGCTTGAGAGGAGACAGAAGACCCAGCTAAGCCCCGTTCAGAATCCTGGCCCATAGAGACTGTGACACAGTACGTGTGTGGTTTTAAACCATGAAATCTGTGGTCATTTGTTACACAGTTACAGATGACTAATACAGTCCCTAGGGCATCCTCACGACATGAGGGCTCAGGTGGTCTGACTCCCACTTGGTAGCTCCGGGCTCTGAATGCAAGGAGCCCAGAGAACACAGTAGCAGCTGCAGCCCCTTCTCTGACACAAGCCTTGGGCTCCTCCTGTGCAGGACTTCCCAACATAGCCGCTGAGTCTATCAAAGCTAGCAAGGAAGGGAGTCTGCTGGAAAGACAAATGAGAATCTCTTGCAACCTTATCGTGAAAGTAACAGCCCCTCGGCATGGAGGTATTCTGTTGCTTAGAAAGGAGTTACAGAGGCCATGAGTACCGGGAGGCAAGGATCAGCATAGTCATCTTAGAAGCAACTTACCGTGGGGAAGCCCCCAAGTAGGTGCCCTGGTCGACAGCCCTGGTGCCAGCAGTATGAGCCCGATGAGCCTTCAGCTGGTCCCCAGACCAGACCCTCCATTCTTGGCAGGCACTTCTGCCTCCTCTGTCAGTTACAGTTGGACAGTTCCTCCCTGTGGGAGGAGTTTCAAGGTCACATGGTGGAGAAGCGGGTGGAATGGGAGATCTTGCTGTGGCTGTTCTGAAAAACCTGCTCTGCCACGGCCCATCTTCAGGCCACAACTCACATCCCTCCCACGTGCGAAGTCCACTTGCCCCATCCCAAGACTTCTGAAGTCTCATCCACTTTAGTTTTGGGCTCAGACTGGAGGTCCAGGATCCAGCTGTGTAAACCAAGGCCTGGTGAGGAGGAGACTCCTGGGCGTGGGGGCTCTTCAAGCCCGGGGGTGTTTTCTCCGTGCCCGTGGCTCCTTCCTGAGTTATTCTTCCCTTTTCTTAAAAAACTGAGTTTGCAACTGAGTAGCCCTCTCAGCCCATTTCCTTCCTTTAAAAGTTGAGGCTCTAAAAGCCTCTTTCATTTTGTCCTGTCTTCATCCCATTTAGTGCAAGAAATTAATTCCTTTAAAAACTTGGCTGGGCGCCGTGGCTCACGCCTGTAATCCTCGCACTTTGGGAGACTGAGGCGGGTGG
The DNA here is from genome assembly GCF_000001405.40 of Homo sapiens. Lineage (NCBI taxonomy): Eukaryota > Metazoa > Chordata > Mammalia > Primates > Hominidae > Homo > Homo sapiens. The sequence continues at coordinate 65,751 of NW_003315955.1, forward strand.
ATCACCTGAGGTCAGGAGTTCCAGACCAGCCTGGCCAACATGGTGAAATCCTGTCTCTACTAAAAATACAAAAATTAGCTGGGCATGGTGGTGGGTGCCTGTAATCCAGCTACTCGGGAGGCTGAGGCAGGAGAATTGCTTGAACCTGGGAGGCAGAGGTCACAGTGAGCTGAGATCACGCCACTGAACTCCAGCCTGGGTGACAGAGTGAGGATCTGTCTCAAAAACAAAACAAAACAAAAAACCCAACTTGGGAACTTCCTATGTACTAATCTAAAATTCATTCCGGCCAGGCGCAGTGGCTCACACCTGTAATCCCAGCACTTTGCGAGGCCTAGACAGGCGGATCACCTGAGGTCAGGAGTTCGAGACCAGTCTGACCAACATGGAGAAACCCCGTCTCTACCAAAAACACAAAATTAGCCGGGTGTGGTGGCACATGCCTGTAATCCCAGCTACTCGGGAGGCTGAGGCAGGAGAATCAGTTGAACCTGGGAGGCGGAGGTTGCGGTGAGCCGAGATTGCACCATTGCACCACAGCCTGGGCAACAAGAGCGAAATTCTGTCTCAAAAAACAAAATAAAATAAAAATAAAATTCATTCCATTAGACAAAAAACCTCCCTCAAAAAACTTAAAAAAAAGAATAGATGTTTTCTTTTGGAGCAGCTGTACGTTAACAAAAAAGTTACCTGGAGAGTACAGAGAATTCCCGAAAACTTCCTCTCCCCGCTCACCCCCCCGAAACTTTCCTGCTCATTAACATCTTGCATTAATGTGGTGCATTTGTTACAATCGATGAGCCAATATGAATACATTATTATTAGCTAAGATCCACTGTTTACAGTCAGTTTTACTCTGCGTTTTACACGACATGGGTCTTGCCCAATGAATAATGTCAGGCATCCACCATTACAGCATCATATAGAATAGTTTCACTGCCCCACAAATCCCTTGCACACCATCCATTCCTTCCTCCTTCCCTCGCACCAGCTCCTGATTACTGTTTTCATAGCTTTGCTGTTTCCAGAATATGGTCTGGTTGGAATCATGCAGTAGGCTGCAGCCTTTTCACGTTGGCTTCTTTCCCTTAGCACTACAACGCTTTCTGAGATAAGCTCTTCTCCACCCCACCTCCCAAAGTGCGGGGATTACAGGCGTGAGCCACCGCGCCCAGCTTCAAGTGAGAAAAGACCCTTGTGATTTGAGAAGACCTGCTCTTCAACAGAGAAACTCCGCAAGGAATGCCGCTAAGGTCCTCAGAATGCCTTTGTCTGTCCGAAAGGGTTTATGGGGCACTTTTCCTTTTTTTCCCTGAGGTCTTCATAAAGGATCTTACAGTCCCCTCTGGACTTCTTTGTCCTGAGGCCCTTTCTCACTTTGAGAATCATTTGCTGGCTGAAAAGCCTGTTCCGGTCTTTACATTTCCTCCCAGCTTCACTGGAAAATGAAATCGTTTGCTCCTAGTTCCCCTCTCTCCTTTTCCATTTTATTATAGGCAGAAGGAGCCAGGAGCACCTTCAACGACCTGCCTGGAAAACTCATCAGCTACAGCAACAAGTCAGCTAGGTATGCTCGGTGTCTACTTTCTATGCTATGGCAGGCAACAGTTTTATTAAACCTTCTGCAACCACATGAGAAAGGGTTCCTTTCCTCCAATAGCCAGTAGCATTTTCTTTTTTCTTTTTCTTTTTCTTTTTTTTTTTTTTGAGATGCAGTCTCGCTCTGTCACCCAGGCTGGAGTGCAGTGGCATGATCTTGGCTCATTGCAGCCTCCATCTCGCAGGTTGAAGCAATTCTCTGCCTCAGCCTCCCGAGTAGCTGGGATTACAGGTGCCAGCCACCACATCTAGCTAATGTTTTAATTTTTATTAGAGACAGGGTTTCATCATGTTGGCCAGGCTGGTCTCGAACTCCTGAGCTCAAGCAATCCACCCGCCTCAGCCTCCCAAAGTGCTAGGATTACAGGCTTGAGCCACCGCGCCCAGCTTGCGTTTTTCTTTTTTCTTTCCTTCCTTCCTTCTTTCTTTCCTTCCTTCCTTCTTCCTTCCTTCCTTTCTTTTTTTCTCTCTCTCTCCTTCTCTTCTTCTTTCTCTTTCTTTCTCTCTTTCCTTTTTTATTTTATTTTCTTTATTTTCTTTTTTTTTTGACGGCGTCTCGCTCTGTCGCCCAGGCTGGAGTGCAGTGGCTCAATCTCAGCTCACTGCAACCTCTGCCTCCCGGGTTCAAGCAATTCTCCTGCCTCAGCCTCCTGAGTAGCTTGGGACTGCAGACACACCACACCACGCCCGGCTAATTTCTTTATTTTTAGTAGAGATGGGGTTTCACCATGTTGGCCAGACTGGTCTTAAACTCCTGACCTCAGGTGATCCACCTGCCTTGGCCACCCAAAGTGCTGGGATTACAGGCCTGAGCCACTGCACCCGGCCTCTTTCTTTTTTCTTTTCTTTTTTTTTTTTTTTTTTAAAAGATGTGATCGTCGGGCATGGTGGCTCACGTCTGTAATCCCAGCACTCTGGGAGTCCGAGGCGGGTGGATCATGAGGTCAGGTGATCGAGACCATCCTGGCTAACACGGTGAAACCCCGTCTCTACTAAAAAAAAAAAAAAAAAAATGAGCCGGGCGTGGTGGCGGGCGCCTGTAGTCCCAGCTACTCGGGAGGCTGAGGCAGGAGAATGGCGTGAACCCGGGAGGCGGAGCTTGCAGTGAGCCGAGATCGCGCCACTGCACTCCAGCCTGGGCGACTGAGCAAGACTTCGTCTCAAAAAAAAAAAAAAAAAAAAAAAAAAAAGATGTGATCTCACTATGTTGCCCAGGGTGATCTTGACCTACTGGGCTCAAGTGATCCTCCTGCCTCAACTTCCCGAGTAGCAGGGTCATGCACTTTTGGGCCAGGATCATCTCTTAACCTTCCTGCAAGCCCTTGCCAACTTCCTCCAGGCTTCTGCCCACTGCCTGCGCCTAAAGCCAATGCCATGTGTTTCATATTTTAGTGACCAGAGCACAGTGAGGCACGTCAGACCCATTAGCTTTCTAATCACCACACCAGCTGTGTGAGTTGGGGGTTGGGTACTGCCCTCCCCTTTCATAGGAGTGGGCACTGAGAATTGGGGAAATTACACAACTGGTCATAAGCACTCAATTAGGAGGAGGAGGAGGAGGAGGAACAGAGTGTTTGAAAGACAATTTTTAAAAATTGGATAGCACAGTAGCCTGGGGACATTTGCGAAGGAGTAAGATGGCGGCGTGTGCGTTGATAACCGTTCAAGGTGCCATCGTGACGGTCCTGAGCCAGGAGGGAAAGAGTCATATGTTTGCTATGCTCTTCTCACCAAGGCAGGGGATTGTGTCATATGTTTTAGAGAGTTGTCTGTGAAAAACAATTAAAACTTGATGCTTAGGCCGGGTGTGGTGGCTCATGCCTGTAATCCCAGCACTTTGGGAGGCCAAGGCAGGCAGATCACTTGAGGTCAGGAGTTGGAGACCAGCCTGGCTAACGTGGTGAAACCCCATCTCTACTAAAAATACAAAAATTAATCGGGCCTGGTGGCAGCAGGCACCTGTAATCCCAGCTACTTGGGAGGCTGAGGCAGGAGAATCGCTTGAATGTGGGAGGCAGAGGTTGCAGTGAGCCAAGATCATGCCATTAAACTCCAACCTGGGTGACAAGAGCAAAACTCCATCTCAAAAAATAAAAATTAAATTAAAAAAATAAAAAAAAAATAGGCCAGGCGCAGTGGCTCACACCTGTAATCCCAGCACTTTGGGAGGCCTAGGCAGGTGGATCACCTTGAGGTCAGGAGTTGGAGACCAGGCTGGCCAACATGGCAAAACCCCGTCTCTACTAAAAATACAAAAATTAGCCGGTTGTGGTGGCGTGTGCCTGTAATCCCAGCTACTTGGGAGGCTGAGGCAAGAGAATTGCTTGAATCCGGGAGGTGGACGTTGTAGTGAGCTGAGATCATGCCACTGCACTCTAGCCTGGGTGACAGAGGGAGACTCTGTCTCATAAATAAATAAATAAACCAGGTGCGGTGGCTCACACCTGTAATCCCAGCACTTTGGGAGGCTGAGGCGGGGGGATCACCTCAGGTTAGGAGTTTGAGACCAGCCTGGCCAACATGGTGAAACCCTGTCTCTACTAAAAAAGAAAAAAATTACAAAAAAAAAAAAATTAGCCAGGTGTGGCGGGCACCTGTAATCTCAGCTACTCAAGAGGCTGAGGCTGGAGAATCACTTGAACCTGGGAGGCAGAGGTTGCAGTGAGCTGAGATCGCACCATTGCACTCCAGCCTCGGCGACGAGGGCAAAACTCCCTCTCAAAAAATAAAAAATAAAAATAAATAAATAAAAACAAAATTTGAGGCTTAAACAATTAAGCTTCGTGCATCTCTTTAATTTTTCTTTTTTTTTTTTAACTCTAATTTCATGACAGATTAAGCTTCATGCATCTCAAAAATGTGTAGAACCCTCATTCCCAGCCTTCCCTCCCTCTCTCTTGTCCTTCTTTCTGATTTCTTGGAATCGGAAGGAAAATTCGGATATCCAGGAACCATCACACAGGAGGCACCCATGTGATGTGTCCAACATCACTCCACGCAGGTGTCCTTGGGTCCTGGGTGCCCAGGTTCCTGTGAATTGTGACCCCAGGCAGAAGCGTGAGCATCCGCAGAGGAACCCACCTACCCAAAGCCAGGGAACAGCCAGGGCTGGCATCCTCAGGGTGACTGTGCTCCAGGGCACCTCTGACTTGTGCTGAGTAAAATGGACAAAGCCAGCAATGCACCCATAACCCAGATTCTTGAGACACCGCTGGACTTTGGGAATCCCAGGCATTAGGCTCGTGGCAGTGTCATCATGGCTAGGCTGGGGGCAGTGTCATCATGGTGCTTGCTGGCCAAGTCAGGACACGGCCTAAGCCGGAATCTGCTGGTGCTGGTACAAGCGGTGAGTGGGCGTGTGGGTGGGGGTTGCGGTTAGGGTGTGGACATCCCAGAATCCAGGACGCTGTTCACAATTCGTCCATACTCCCTGCTCCCCTCCCTTACAGCACTTCCCTCCCGAGGCCTCCTGAGCCTCTAACCCCCAGATAAGGAAAGGGGTGGACTCAGTTGAAGTCCAGTGTCCACTCCGGTCCAATCAGCTCTACCTGGGGTGAGGGGAAACTCCTCTGGCTGGGCTGCTCCCTCTGCAGGGCTGTGGCTGGACAGATTACTCAAGAAAGGAAGCAGGTGGGCCGGAACGAACCCACGGTGCCACATAGGCCTCCGTTCTCATGCATATAAGTTTCCCACACTCAGGCAGGAAATGAAAATGCTTCTTGGACCCCCAAGGAGAGTAAAGGAGAGGGGAAGAGGAGGAGGATTTTTCGGGGCTGTTAGTGACACTTTCAGCCTCCTGTGCATTTTTGGGAGGGCTGCAGGAGAAGGCAATGCTGCGCCCCTACCCAGAACTAGCGAGCGCTTCCCAACTGGCCTCCCGCCTTCCTCTCGTCCTCTACGGCCTCCATTGGCAGCTGTGCAAGGGCCCGGCCCTGCCTCTGTCTCTCCACACTCGCTGTGATACCTCAGGCCTCCCAGGCTCCGCCACGCCCTTCCCTCTTTCGGGAACAGCTGCCTTCCATCACCTTGGCTGCCTGGCTAATTCCTGCTCATTCCTTAAAACCCTGTTTTGATTTCGCCTCAATAAAACTCTGACACCACCCTCCAGTCATAATTAGTCACTTCTTCCTCTGTACGTTGGAAACACCGCTTTATCGTGGAGACTTTAAGGATATCCAAGTAGAGAGAATTCTTCCGTGCAAGTTTTGCATCCTCTCACCACTGCCTGCGTTACCCGAGTTGTAAAGGGCGGCTCCCTGTGTCTGCCCCGCTGCACCGATACACCGAGCTGCGCACGGTGCCCAGCGCAGGGAGAACAAATGATCATCTGTCCAACGCGCCCATTTACAGGTGAGGAAACTAAGGCTCCAACTCAATCGACGCACTCTGCCCTTTTGATTACCAGAAAAGTAGCAGGACAGGTGTCCTGTCCCGCCCTACCCCGGCCCACTAAGCCGGCACCCCGGCTCCGACCCCCGGCTGTGCCCGGCGCCGCCGCGGTGCCCGGCGCCGCCGCCTCGCCCGGCGGGGCCGCCCGGAGCGCCCGCACCTCCGCCCGCTTCCACCTGGCCGGGCCCGCCCCGCCCGGACTCGGGACTGGGAAGTGCGGCGACTCCCGGAACCAGCCATTGGCGCCAGCGCGGGGAGCTGGGGGTGCAGAGCTGCGGGCGCGGCGGGCCACGCAGGCGGCCCCCACCCCCGGCCTGGCCTGGTCTGGTCTGGTCTGCGCTGCCGCGCGGGGGCGCCCCCTCCCAGGCCCGGCGCCCGCCAGCCCCGCTCCGCCAGGTGCAGCGCAGCGCAGGGGTGGGCGGGGGTGGGGCTCGGCGCGCACGTTCACGGGGCGGGGAGGGGGCGGGTCAGGGGCGGGACCACAGCCGGCTGGGCCGGGGTTCTATGCGCATCTCCGGGGAGGGGCGGGGCGGGGGCGGGGCCGGGGCGGGGCCCGGTCGGTGCACTCCAGACGGCGGGCCGCCCCCTCTTCCCGCCTTCCTACTACCGGCCCAGGATTAGCGCCCTGGGAGCGCGCGCCCCGCTGCCTCGCCGCCACACTTTCCTGGGAGCGGCGGCCACGGAGGCACCATGAAGAAGTCTTACTCAGGTGGGCTTCGCGCCCGGGGTGGGGAGGGGTCGGTGTCCCGGGACCAGCGCTGCTCACCTGAGTGCCTGCGGCCGGGAGTGGCGAGGCGCCCCCGGAGCTGAGCGAGTCCCCGCGGCGGGCACACTGCAGGTCGAGTTCCTCCCAGGACAGGGCCGCTGTCGGGCCGCTTTCGACCTGAGCCGACCGTCCCCTGCGCTGTCTCCAGCCCTTGCTCGAGTGTCGGAGGGGCTGCCCTGGGGGACGCTCCCTCTTCCTCGCCCCTTGCACCCTCGCAGGAATCGCTGACTTTCCAGGTCGGCCGGGTGCTTTGGGTCCCTGTGCGTCTGTGTGGGTGAATGGGGTCGGGGCTAGGTGGAGGGGTGTCCTTGGGTTCAGCCTCTAGGGCTGGTGGTCCAGGCCGCAGCATCCTTTCTTCGGATTCTCTTCGGTTTCTCCTCTACTTAGTGGGGCACGGGACGGCCTCCAGATGGGACCGTCCAGCAGCGCCCAAACTTGGCGACTCGGGTTCACGTTTTGCGCTCAGGACGCCGCCCGCGGCTGACATCCTCACTCCACCCTAGCAGGGCCCGCCTTAAGTAGGCGAAGGGGGCCTGACTTGGGCCTCACCATGAGCCGGTTCAGGAGCTTTCATTTCATAAGAGGCTCCCGCTCTGGCACTCTGAAGTTCCATTTCACAGATGGGCACACCGAGGCCACAAGGGCAGGTTAAGAGAAATCCAGATCTTCATTATTTGTCTTTTCCTTCCTTTTTTTTTTCCTTTGTGGTTTTCTCCAAAGGATCCAGGCAGGCAGGATCCTTTGTCCTCCTCAGTCCTCAAATTATAAATAGCGTCTCCTCTTCTAAATCTAGAAACCGTTTGTTTAATGTCCCTCCTTTAATTCATTCAGATAGAAAGGTACCTGCCAAGGATCCATGAATTAATTTTTATTGATAGGAGAACAGAATCATGGGCCTTAGTTGGAGGTGAAGGAGTCATCGGGGCCATCCCCCTGCCTTTGGGCCATTGTCGGTTTCCTCTGGCTTTCCATATTTAGGAACCAAAATGAGTGATAAAGTACCTTGTCTCAAAGAGGATTACTCAGAACTTCCCCGAAAATACCCTTCTGGGTCAGTAGCTTAGAATTTCAACTTTCACCCGGTTGTTGCGAACAAGATGGCCCTCTACGCACCCGGAGCACAGCTCTGTCAGGAGCGTGGGTGGGTTGGTGTGCTGGTGGGCGGGAGCGGGCTTCCAGGTGGCACATGCTTGGTTTTGGCACCGGGGCTTCCTCCCCAACATGCTCCAAATACTTGAGATTGTTGTGGGGATCGCGCGGTGCATGGCCCTTTCCAGGGGATCTCTAGCCCGCCCAGGGAGGGCCCTTTGCCCTTGGTTTCTTACACTTTACCTCCCACTGGTGGGTCCAGACAGTGGGGGTGACCGGGGTCCTCCCAGGTCGTGGGTCCTGGGTTTTTTCTGCGGAGACCCTCCTGCACAGATGCCGGAAGGGCCCTGAGGCAGGCTTGGAGTCTCTGCACCTGCGGCTTACTGGGAGGTGGGGAGACCATCACTTGTCCTTTTCTCCTCTCCTCCACACACACCTACCCCACCCCTCACTGGGTTTCTTTTTTTTTTTTTTTTTTAAAAAAAAGGACAGAACCTTTTGCAGTAGGTGGAAGTAGAGTTTGTGGAGTGAGCAGGAACCAACTCTTGTACAGCAGCCTCGGTGCCTCCTTGTGTTTACCTAAAGGGGCAGGCCCCTCTGAGGATGGGGGAAGGGAGGGCTCAGACCATTTCTGGTTTGCTCCCTGCTTGGCAGTGGCCCAAGGTGTGCTGGGTCACTGTGTTGCAGTTGTATGGAGTGGGACTGGAGGGGGCTGATGGTGGGGGTGGCCTCTTGCCCTCATTCTGAGTGTCCTGGAGCTGTCTTGGCACCAGCCCTTTTCCGGGTACGGGCACTCGCAGGAGTCAGGCTGACCCCCCAACAAGCCATCGACACCATGAAATTAAGGAAAGCAGCAAAAGATGTTAAAAATCCCCCAAGGCTCTGACAATCCAAGGACAACAGGAAGGTCTTTATTTTTTCATCTAGACTGTGCGGGATTATTGCTTCCAGACCTGTATGTGGGCTTCAGAATAAACGGAATGACCATAATGTTGTTCCCGGTAGACCTGGTTTGAACATTCGTGAGCCTCTGAAAAGGAGAAAGATTTTAGAAGGATGTGTTGGGGCAATCTCAAGTACCGTGGGTCTATAGACAGTCATCGAAGACACTTTATGTGCTGGGCACACATGGCCAAGTCTGAGTGGGTACAGAAATGGTAATGAGATATAGTCCTTGCCTGCAGAGAACTTACATTCTCACCGGGAGTCAGGATGAGGGCGAGACACCAGCTCATTAACACCCTTCCCTCCTGAGCAGTTCAGCCTCCAAATACTACAGGAATGCCCCGGAGGTTTTAGGTGGAGGTGAGATTGAGCTGGGCCTTGAGGAAGGAGAAGTCTTGAGTAGTGGAGAATAAAAAGGGACTTGGCCAGGTGCGCTTGAAGTCCCAGCTACTCAGGAGGCTGAGACACGAGGATCGCTTGAGCCCAGGAGGCTACTCAGGAGGCTGAGACACGAGGATCGCTTGAGCCCAGGAGGCTACTCAGGAGGCTGAGACAGGAGGATCGCTTGAAGCCAGGAGTTCAAGGCTGCAGCCCTGTGACAGCGCCTGGAAATAGACACGGCACTCCAGCCTGGGTGGCGTCATGAGACCCCATCTGTAAGAAGGTCTTTTCCAATGCGGAAGGCAGCAAGGGCCCACACAGGGCAGCTGCAGGATCCAGGGGGACACTGGGGACAGGTTCTCTCTGGCAGCTCCACTGCTGCTCCAGGCTTTCCCGATTGCCTCACCCGGCCTTCCAATGGGGTGGAGGTAGTGGTAGTCTACAGGCAGTGTGGTCCAGTGGTTACACTTGGGGGCTCAGAGCCGCCAGCCCCTTGGGATTAAATCTCACCAGGCTGCGCCTCTCCCTGTGGCACAAGGTTCTCACCTCATGCATCTCATTTGCCTCATTTGTTTTTTTGTGTGTGTGGTGTTTTTTAATTTTATTTATTTATTTATTTTTGAGACGGAGTCTCACTCTGTCTCCCAGGCTGGAGTGCAATGGCATGATCTCAGCTTACTGCAACCTCCGCCTCCCAGGTTCAAGTGATTCTCCTGCCTCAGCCTCCTGAGTGGCTGGGATTGTAGGAACGTGCCACTGCGCCCAGCTAATTTTTATATTTTTACTAGAGATGGGGTTTCACCATGTTGGTCAGGCTGATCTCGAACTCCTGACCTCGTGATCTGCCTGCCTTGGCCTCCCAAAGTGCTGTGATTACAGGCATGAGCCACCACGCCCAGCCTGCCTCATTTGTTAAATGGGACAGTGCTATGTTGTTGTAAAGGTTAAACGAGTTCATATTTGAAAAAGCTGAGAAATGCCTGCTCTGTAACCTGTTAGCTGCTGTCATGATCATGATTGTCATTGACAGGAGGATGGAGAAGGCTGGGGTTACGCCATTGCTAGGACGTTCCAGAAGCCTCCATGATCTTCCCTTACTGTGGTCAGAGCATGGTGCAGGGTCTCTCCCCCAGCCCCTCAGCACTGGAGCCAGCTGCACTGTACCCGCCCTGGCTCTCTAGGTTCTGAGTTTTGGGACTCCCTTTGCATACTAGGTCACATGGAACTTGCCGTCATTCCCAGGCTCCCCTGGAAACTCTCTGTGGGTGGCAGCGGCAGGAGGACTTACCCGAGGCCGATGAGCCACAGAAGCGGGACTGAGGTTGCGTCACACCCCTACTGGCACCTGGGAATTACTCTGGAGATTCTTTTTTTATTTTTTATTTTTTTGAGATGGAGTCTTGCTCTGTTGCCCAGGCTGGAGTGCAGTGGCACGATCTCGGTTCACTGCAACCTCTGCCTCCCAGGTTCAAGCAATTCTCATGCCTCAGCCTCCTGAGTAGCTGGGATTACAGGCATGTGCCACCGTGCCCAGCTAATTTTTGTATTTTTTAGTAGAGATGGGGTTTTACCATACTGGCCAGGCTGGTCTCGAACTCCGGACCTCAGGTGATCCACCCGCCTCAGCCTCCCAAAGTGCTGGGATCACAGGCATGAGCCACCGTGCCCAGCCACTCTGGAGTTTCTCTGTGGCTTTCAGGAGATTCCTGAAGGGGCACCAGCCACGATTAAAAAGCTCTATGCTGTCGTGACTTCTGAGTCCTGGGCAGGGAGGGAGGCTGCACCCACACAGGAAGCAGCTTCTGCCGTGATTCAGTGTGCTGGCTCGCCGTGGTGGACAGGGCTGCACCCTCACCCAGCGCCCCGGGAGCTGACTTACGGGAAGGGCAAGGAATTGCACCCTCAGAGAACACTTCCCCAGTCAGCTAACCCGGTGACAGGCGAGCGTGGGAAGGGCACAAGCACAGGGTTTCTTCCTCTTCTCCCCCAGCCCCGTCTCCGCGCCTGTTCTCGCTGCCTCTTGCCTCCTCACGTCCAAGCTTGTCTGCTCTGGCGCATTCAGGGGACCTGGACTGGAGAGAAAAAGCCACCTCGTACGGTTAGTCTGTGGCTCTGTCTGACTTGTGTCCTCCGCCGAGGCCCCTCAGTTGTGAGACAGCTGGCTGAGCCTAAGTCCTGGGGCCAGCCCTCTCCCTAGTCTGTTGCAAAGGTAGAAAGGCATGCCCAGGCAGGGGCCACCTGCCCTGCCCGCTCACGCCAGACCGCAGGCACTTGCCCGTCAGATCTCCCCGGCCTGCCCAGAGGGATTCTGATAGCCGAGGGCAATGCACCTGGCAGCGGAGCATTGCGTTTGCGACAGTCCACCTTCTTCCTGGAACCACCCCCCACAAGTGTGACCAGCTCAAGCCAGGACAGGTACAGGGGGACCCAGGATTGCCACTTAGGGGCAGTGGTCTGGAATCCAGGTCCAGGTGACATGGGAGCCAACCCTCTGCTTGGAGATCCCAGGTGGGTGTTTGCAGAGGACATCTCACTTGAGGACCCATGGAAGGGGACACTTCCCACCCCCTACCTGGTCCTTGGGCTGCCCTCCTCTGACACTCTCCTGCCATCCCAGGCAGCCCTGACAGCCCCATGTGACTGGGACCTAGAGGTGGCCCCTGTTTCCGCCCCAGTGTTTGTCCACAGGCAGTGTTGCGTGGGCTCTGAAGTTTGCCTAAGATGGACCTGATAAGGGGAGTTCAGTACACATCAGTGCAGGCCCGGCCAGGGGGTGATGATGGCAGTTCCTGGGCAGATCCAGCTGGCTTTAGGGTAGGAGGGGCTCCAGAGAGAGGCTCCAGGCCCCTAGGGGTGTGAACCTTTGGGGTGAGGCGGGAAGTGACGCGCTGGGTTCCTGCGCCTCTGTTTGTTGGAGCTATTACCTTGGAAACATCCCAGCTCTAGGCGGTTGCCAGGGATTTATGGGGATCAGTGGGTGCCAATCCCTGGGTGAAGCCCTCGGGGCTTGTACACAGCACACAGCGCTGTGGCCCCATGGCTCACTTTGCTGTGTGAAGTGGCTCAGTCTCCGGGAGAGTCCTTAGCCAGGCAGGCCTGACGGCAACTGCCAGGTCATGGTGATCTGGAATCGCTGACCAAAGGGAGTCAGTCCTGGTGGGTGGAGGGACTTGGTGGGCAGCCATCGTGATGCCAGGCATGGGGATCGTGTGTCACCCAGGCCTGTGGGTGCCGAGCTTCTGTGGGAGCAGTGAAGTGCCCCCGTGGCCGATGGGCTGGTCACCCCTGCCCCTTTCCTGATGTGACAGTTGTGCCTGGGCCCCGGGAAATTTGCCAGGAGGCCTGGCATTGGCCTGCTCTACTGGAGCGGCCCTGCTGAGCTGTGAGCTGCCCGTCTCCCTGAGGTTCCTAGCCCATTTCAACTCTCCATGTGGATTTGGTCATTCATTCCAGAAGCGTCTGCCGGGCGCTGCTGAGTGTCAGGTTCTGTTTGCCTCCTCTCCTGTACGCTGGAGGCTCTGGGCACCAGCTCTGCAGGGTGGCCTGGCCTTGGGTCTCCAGGGTAGAGCATGGCACTCTCTGCTCCCAGCCCAGTTTCTCTCTGCTTTATCTCCCTGACCCCACCCTGGGCATGGGCCCATTTGCAGCCCCTGTGAAGGGAGACATTGAGCTGTTGCTGGCAGAGGAGGGGCGGCTCCTGGGCACTGCTTGCCAATGGCCTCTCGGCAGCTCTGTGACAGCTGAGCTTTGTTCCCAGCCTAATCTGACCTGGTTCTCCAAAGCATGACTGTTGGCAGCCTGAAAACCTCCAGGACAGGAAACAGGAGTGGCGCAGGGAATGTAAGATGATCCCAGCTTCAAGTCACTGGGCGGCCCTTAGACCCAGGCTGCCTGCTGTCTCTGGCAGGAACTCAAGTCGCTGGTCATCCTCAGAGCGGTGTTGGCCCGGGGCCTTCAGTGGCCTTTGTGTCTGGGTGAGAGGAACCCTGGATGGCCACTCTGCCCTGAGTGTGTGGGTCCCCAGAAGTGCTGGGTTAGGGGGCACGGAGGGCCAGAAAGTCCCCTTTGGAGCGCTGGACTCTCTCGCTGACTCCTACCCCACCCCGGCCTGGGGTTTCAGAGAAGGGGTCCAGGCAGGAGTGTCATCTTTTCTCAATGGGGATGTGGCTTCAGTCTCTGTCCAGGTGGGTGCATTGCTCTCTTTCCGGCTCCTCCCAGGCTGCTTAAATGACCTGTGACGAGGCCTGCGCCATGGCCGGGGCCCTCTGCTTTTCCCAGCGCTGCACCTGGGAACCAGGGGTTGGGCCCCGGAAGCCGAGGATGTCCCTGAATGCCATGCCTGGGCACCTGTCCTGGCCAGGCGAGGCGTGTTGGGGCAGCGGCTGAGATGGGAGCAGCAGCATTGCCTGCCAGGTTTGAGATGGGCCCCGGGTGAGTGTGGTTACCAGGAAGGGCTGGGCAGAGCAGGCGGGTGGGCCGCCCCTGGGGCCTTGTTCCGCAGATCAACCTGATCCGCACCCTGGGGCCGGGGCTTCCTTTCACAGCCTTCCCATGAACTATGGCTCCTGTTTCCATCCCAAATCAGATCCCAGAAGAGGAATAATGTCCATGTAACCCAAGCCAGTTGGAAGTGGGTTACATCCAACCCCTGTCATCTTCCAGCTTGTTAAGGACTTGACTAACTCAACCCAGAGGGATTTGGAGGGTTGTCTGCAAAACCCACTAATAACAGGGAACTTTAGCTCTGTAGCCACAGGGTCTACAGAGGTGTCGGGCTGTCGGGTTATTGCTGGGAGGTGAGCCGGTGGCGTAGACACCATGGAGGCACCGGTAGTGGAAGAGCTGCAAGTGCACACAGAGGCCGGCACCGAGGGGCGGGGAGGAGGAGGTGGTGGATTTCTCGCCAGTGTTGGCATCATGTTGCCTCCAGCATCAGAGACCCAAGGTGTGGCTGACCTTGGCTGGGGCGATGAGTCATTGGATAGCAGAGCCTTCCTGGTAGCTGGGGGTTAACGCTTTAACTGCCGGGACTTTGTATTATGCCGCTTCTTTTTTTTGTTTTGTTTGGTTTGGTTTGGTTTGGTTTTTGAGACGGAGTCTCACTCTGTCACCCAGGCTGGAGTGTGGTGGCTCAATCTTGGCTCACTGCAACCTCTGCCTCCTGGGTTCAAGCAATTCTCCTGCCTCAGCCTCCTGAATAGCTGGGATTACAGGCACGCGCCACCATGCCTGGCTAATTTTTGTATTTTTAGTAGAGATGGGGTTTCGCCATGTTGGCCGGGTTGGTTTCAAACTCCTGACCTCAGGTGATCCACCTGCCCCGGCCTCCCAAAGTGCTGGGATTACAGGCATGAGCTACCGCGCCCAGCTTGCATTTATGCTTTTTTTTTTTTTTTTTTGAGATGGAGTTTCGCTCTTGTTGCCCAGGCTGGAGTGCAAAGGCGCGATCTCAGCTCACTGCAACCTCCACCTCCCGGGTTCAAGCGATTCTCTTGCCTCAGCCTCCCAAGTAGCTGGGATTACAGGCCTGCGTCACCATGCCCGGCTAATTTTGTATTTTTAGTACAGACGGGGTGTCCCCATGTTGGTCAGGCTGGTCTCGAACTCCCGACCTCAGGTGATCCGCCCGCCTTGGCCTCCCAAAGTGCTGGGATTACAGGCGTGAGCCACCGCACCCGGCCTATGCTTTTTATTATTATTATTTAATTTTTTAAGGAAAGCAATCTAAACTGTACACTGTATCTTTTCTTTCTCTTTTGCTTTTTGTTGTCAGTTTTCTGTATTACTTATTGCCAAACAACATGAACAGGAAATTGAAAGGAAAACTTCAACAATCATTGGCTGTAGCATTTCTTCTGTGTTCCATTCAGTGCTTGTCTCCTCAGGAACATGACATAGGGTTTGATTTAATTATGAAAGGCGTATATTTTCAGAGTTTTATACTCCCCATAGAATGAATGTTGAATTCTGTTCTTTTCACTTGAAATTAGATCTCAGGCATGGATTTCATGATTATCACTATAATGGCTCTTCAGAGTGGACATTGCATCTTGTAGGGAACCACCCTCTCCCCAGCTGCTGGTGTGGACGCTCCTCCTTGATGGTGTGGGTCTGGGCCCCTGAAGGGTGGTGTCCTGAGTAAAGATGTTACAGTAGCCATGCTTATAGCTTTGGGCCTGGGGCTAGGTGGAGACTGGCTTCAACCCTAGAGCTTGCTGTCTTAAAATAAATTCTTTTTTTTTTTTTTTTGAGATGGAGTCTCGCTCTGTTGCCCAGGCTGGAGTGCAGTGGCGCGATCTCCGCTCACTGCAAGCTCCGCCTCCCGGGTTCACACCATTCTCCTGCCTCAGCATCCCGCATAGCTGGGACTACAGGCACCCGCCCCCACGCCCGGCTAATTTTTTGTATTTTTTTAGTAGAGGCGGGGTTTCACCATGTTAGCCAGGATGGTCTCAATCTTCTGACCTCGTGATCCACTCGCCTCAGCCTCCAAAGTGCTGGGATAAAATAAATTCTTAGGGCCGGGAGCGGTGGCTCACACCTGTAATCCCAGCACTTTGAGAGGCCGAGGCGGGCAGATCACAAGGTCAGAAGATCGAGACCATGGTGAAACCCCGTCTCTACTAAAAATACAAAAAATTAGCTGGGTGCAGTGGCGGGCGCCTGTAGTCCCAGCTACTCGGGAGGCTGAGGCAGGAGAATGGCATGAACCCGGAAGGCGGAGCTTGCAGTGAGCCGAGATTGCGCCAGTGCACTCCAGCCTGGGCGACAGAGTGAGACCCTGTCTCATAAATAAATAAATAAATAAATAAATAAATAAATTCTTATACCCACTTGCATTATTTATTATTATTATTATTAAACAGGGTCTTGCTGTGTTGCCCAGGTTGGAGTGCAGTGGCGTGATCATGACCTCCCAGTCTCGACCTCCCAGTTTCAATTGGTCCTCCCTTCTCAGCCTCCTGAGTAGCTGGGACTACAGGTGTGCGCTGCATGCCTGGCTAATTTTTTTTTTTTTTTTTTTTTTGAGACAGAGTCTTACTCTGTTGCCCAGGCTGGAGTGCCGTGGTGCAATCTCGGCTCACTGCAACCCCCGGCTCCTGGATTAAAGCAATTCTCCTGCCTCAGCCTCCTGAATAGCTGCGATTACAGGCATGTGCCGCCACACCTGGCTAATTTTTGTATTTTTAGTAGGGACGGGGTTTCACCATGTTGGTCAGGCTGGTCTCAAACTCCTGACCTCGTGATCCACCTGCCTTGGCCTCCCAAAGTGCTGGGATTACAGGTGGGAGCCACCGCGCCTGGCATGCCTGGCTAATTTTTAAAAAATTTTTGTAGCAGCCGGGCGCGGTGGCTCATGCCTGTAATCCTAGCACTTTGGGAGGCCAAGGAGGTCGGGAGTTCGAGACCAGCCTGACCAACATGGAGAAACCCTGTCTCTACTAAAACTACAAAATTAGCTGGGCATGGTGGCACATGCCTGTAATCCCAGCTACTCAGGAGGCTGAGGCAGGAGAATTGCTTGAATCTAGGAGGCGGGGGTTGCAGTGAGCTGAGATCGTGCCACGGCACTCCAGCCTGGGCAAAGAGAGTGAAACTCCGTCTCAAAAAATTTTTGTTTTTGTTTTTGTAGCGACAGGGTCTTGTTTTGTTGTTGCCTAGGCTGGTACTGAATTTCCAGCCTCAAGCGATCCTCCTGCCTCAGCCTCCCAAAGCGCTGGGAGTACAGGCGTGAGTCACTGTGCCTGGCCTCCACTTGCTTTGGCTGCCTTTCTCTGTCTTAGGTAACCATACATTTCTCCAGGTAATTAAGAAAAGATTGCGCATGATGAGTCCCTTTTCTGGTATTTCTGGGATTGCCCCCAAAACCAGACAAGTGTTCTTACCTTGACATTTTATTAAGACTTTAATGAACAGAATGCCGTTTGCCCTCAGTCTGCTGGTCCCCCTGCGAAGGCCCAGGGCTTCCTTGTTTGAAAAGTCATCCCCTTGTCGAGGTCTTTGATTCCTTTTCACCACGGCAGTCATGCCGAGGGTCCACAGAGCCACCCCTTCCCCATCTCTTCCTCGGCCCCTCAAGACGCATCTGTACCCCCGGAGATGTCTCTTTGTTTTCTTGGGCCACCTCTCCTGGCCGTCACTCACCCTGCTGACTCATTACTTGTGCAACAGTTTCTTCTGGAACCCTCAGGCTCCTGCCACCTACCCTCTGCAGTCCCCGTTTTGTTCCTCTTGCCTCAGTCTTCCTCCCCATCACCCCTCTACCTGTTGGTCTCCATCTCTGTCTATGGCACATCCCTGTGTTATACTCTGATGGCTGGATAAAGGTTGAGTGAAACGCATCTACCCCTTTGGTGACTGGGGTGCCCATTAATCAGAAGGGATCCAAGGCTGGCGTAGCCTTTTCCCGCATCCTGGGGTATCGTCCTGTGGCTCTTCCTTGTTGGAGTCTGCAGTTTTTTGTTTTTTTTTTTTTAAATTTTTTGAGATGGAGTCTCGCTCTGTCGCCCAGGCTGGAGTGCAGTGGTGAGATCCCAGCTCACTGCAACCTCCGCCTCCCGGGTTCAACCAATTCTCCTGCTTCAGCCTCCCAAGTAGCTGGGACTACAGGCGCCCGCCACCATGCCTGGCCAATTTTGGTATTTTTAGTAGAGACGGGGTTTCCCTACATTGGCCGGGCTGGTCTCGAACTCTTGACCTCAGGTGATAGGCTCGCGTCGGCCTCCCAAAGTGCTGAGATTACGGGCATGAGCCACCAGGCCCGGCCGTTGAGATTACCTTCATAAGCCACCAGGCCTGGCTGTAGTTGGCAGTTTTTGACCACTGGTCTCGCTCCACGTGATCTGTGATCTTCCCCTTGGCCCCCTGGCCCTGCCCTGTTCATCTGCTCACCTTTCTCATGCATGCGGTTTGTTCATAGGGTATGTAATGGGGTCTAACCAGGAAATGGAAACCGCTTGAGCATTTATTTATTTATTTATTTATTTATTTATTTATTTATTTTTCCCAAGACAAGGTCTCACTCTGTCACGCAAGCTGAAGTGCAGTGGTGTGATCACAGCTCATGGCAGCCTTGAACTCCTGAGCTCAAGCGATCCTCCCTTCTCAGCCTCCCAAGTAGCTCGGACTATAGGTGCACACTATATGCCTGCCTAATTTTTTCTTTTATTTTTGTAGAGACAGGGTCTTGCTTTGTTGCCCAGGCTGGTCCTGAACTCCCAACCTCAAGCAATCCTCCTGCCTCAGCCTCCCAAAGTACTGGAGCTACAGGCATGTGCCATCACGCCTTGCTAATTTTTGTATTTTTTGTGTGTGTGTAAAGACAAGGTCTTACTATGTTGCCCAGGTTGGTCTTGTACTCCTGGGTTTATGTGATCCTCCTGCCTGGGCCTCCCAAAGTGCTGGGATTACAGGCGGGAGCCACAGTGCCTGGTCCACTTGAGCATTTAGAACAGAAGGACTTAAAGGCGGGGAACTAGTTACACAGATGATGGGAGAGGTGAAGGCCAGACAGGGAACAGAGAGGCAATCAGCAGGAAATCAAAGTGGTGTGGGCTTATACAGCCCTCTAAAGGTATGGATGCAATGATTCATTTAGAATGAGAAAATAAATAACAGCAAATTATAAATTATAAGCAGCTGTTAAATATCACAAACATCACTACATGCAGAAGAGTACCAGTCAACTGTCAGTCATATCTCCAAAGTTCTATTTCTCCCACATTTTTGGCATTACTTCTTCAATATGATGACTTTGTAATATCGTTTTCTATTTCGAGAACAGAAAACTGATCAGGCTGGACACAGTGGCTCGTGCCTGTAATCCCAGCACTTTGGGAGGCCAAGGCAGGTGGATCACTTGAGGCCAGGAGTTCAAGACCGGTCCGGGCAGCGTGGCGAAACCCCGTCTCTACTAAAAATACAAAAACTA
The DNA here is from genome assembly GCF_000001405.40 of Homo sapiens. Taxonomy (NCBI): domain Eukaryota; kingdom Metazoa; phylum Chordata; class Mammalia; order Primates; family Hominidae; genus Homo; species Homo sapiens. The sequence continues at coordinate 84,851 of NW_003315955.1, forward strand.
GCAGGGCATGGTGGCATACACCTGTAGTCCCAGTTACTTAGGAGGCTGAGGTGGGAGGATTGCTTGAGCCCAGGAGGTCGAGGCTGCAGTGAGCCGTGATCATGCCACTGCACTCCAGCCTGGGTGAGAGAGTGAGACCATGTCTCAAAAAAAAAAAAAAAACAACAAAAAAAAACATAGGCTGGGCGTGGTGGCTCACGCCTGTAATTCCAGCACTGTGGGAGGTTGAGATGGGCGGATCACTTGAGGTCAGGAGTTTGAAACCAGCCTGGTCAACATGGTGAAACCCCATCTCTACCAAAAACATAAAAAATTAGCCAGGTGTGATGACGCACGCCTGTAATCCCAGCTACTTGGGAGGCTGAGGCAGGAGAATGGCTTGAACCCAGGAGGCAGAGGTTGCAGTGGGCCAAGATCGTGCCATTGCACTCCAGCCTGGGCAACAGAGTGAGACTCCATCTCAAAAATAAATAAATAAATAAAGCGAATGAATCTCCTTAGTTGATCAAATTTTGTTTTTATTTTTGGTAGTTGGGATGTATACAAAAGTGGCGGTCAACATGGAGTTGGTGGTGCTGCTACAATTGTTTTGTTCAAGATACACAGGAATTCTGGTAAATCCTGTTTTTTTCTTTTTTTTTAAATGTGATTCCCATCAAGAAAGAAGTAGGAAAATGGGGGAGATTTCTAACTGCATATGAGGCATTTGTGCATGTATTTCTGACCAGAGAGACTTTTCTGTTTTGACTCCACATTGAAGGAACTGAATCCTTTGCTTACAACTTCACCTCTGGTGATGGGAGTAATTTTCCACAGATTTGCTTCTGGACCCGTGCATTTCAAATCTTGCTTCTCTCCACTGCGCACGTTTTTCCGGCGCCAGGCACCGCAGGATATGTTCGTGTCTTGTGATTTTTGATTCTGCGCGGTAGGTGGAATTGGAACGGTGAGTGGAGCGAGTATTGCTGGAATCCGTTTCCACACCGGGATAGCGAGCAGTAACTGAACTATACATGGAAATAAATGGGAACTACATAAATATAACCCGACCAAAGCCAAACTAAATATCTTTCCAGTTCAACTTCTCCTTAGCAGGAGCCCCCACGTGGCAGCAAGCCTCCGTTTCCACCTCACACAAGAGAAAATGTGACGGGCAGGAACTCAAGACTGGAAATGAACGGGGACGTTAATTGATTGTAGGGAAAATATTTTCCATTTTGTAAATTTTACAAAAAATGTTTGACCCTGTGGACATGTGGTTAGGGCCCTTCTCAGTGCCTTGAGAGGGAACCATGCAGGTAGAGGGAGGGTTCTTAGCATTGTGGGGGTGACCTGGAGATTGGCAGCAGGGTGCCACCACCACCCCTAGGTGGGGATGAGAGGGAGGAAGTCCTGTGACCAGAGTCCAGGGGCCAGAGTCACCTGCTGGGAGCCCAAACAAAGGTGGGACTCTGGCAGGAGCTGGAACTACACAGAGGACCACCTCTCCTGCTGGAGAAGCTGTCTGAGGCAGAGGAGGTGGAGAGCTCCCGCGCCCTCCCTTGCTTCCACCTCCCAGGTTCCTCCCAAGCCTCTCGTTGGTTGAACCCAGCCCAAAGCCAGCAGGCCTGGGGACCTGGACACCTGAGCCAGCAGAGGTCGGCGTTTCTCCCACACAAAGGAGGGCACAAGAAGTGGGAGGCACGGAGGGGGATCAGGCCAGGACCCACACAGGATGTGCAAACAGGAGCTCCCCTCTCTTCCCACCCCAAATGGCATCTGCAGCCGGCCTCACTTCCCTGCTGTTAGACAGGAAGAGGAACCTTGTTCCCGGCACCAGCTGCCCCCACCGCCCCCCACCCCACGGAGGCCCCTTTCCTCTCTGGCCTTTGCTTGCAATCATTGGCGACGCTGATGGACCATATCTTCTGGGGAGTTTGGTCATGAACATGGTTTCCCATTTGTTGTGGACCAAACTGTGCCCTTCCCCTTGAATTCCTGCGTTGAAGCCCTAACTCCCAATGCAGCTGTAATTGAAGATAGGGCTTTTAGGGAGGTAATTAAGGTTAAATGAAGTCATAGGGCAGGACCCTAATCTAATAGGATTGATGTCCTTATAAGAAGAGGGAGAGACACCAGAGATCTCTCCTCCCCCCTCACTTGTAAACAGAGGAAAAATGACGGAGGACACAGCAGGGAGGTGGGTACAAGCCAGGAAGAGGGGCCTCGCCGGGAACTAACCCTGACGGCACCTTGATCCGGGACTTTGGGCCTCTCAAACTGAGAAATACATGTCTGTTGTTTAAGTCACTCCCTCCACAGTAATCTGGATGGCAGCCTGAGCTTACCAAGGCACCGTCTGCATCAGCCAGGGCTCTCCAGGGAGACAGCCAATAGGAGATGGATGGATGGATGGATGGCTAGATAGACAGACAAGCGGACAGAGAGAGAGAGAGACAGGCAGACACAGACAGACAGGCAGACAAATGGCTAGATAGACAAGCAGACAGAGAGATAGAGACAGACAGACACAAACAGGCAAACAGACAGGCAGACAAATGGATAGATAGATGATAGATAGCCAGGCAGGCAGATAGACACAGACAGGCAGACAGACAGACAGACAGATGATAGGTTGGGTTCAGTGACTCTTACCTGTAATAACCAGCACATTGGTAGGCTGAGGCCGGTGGATCACTTGAGGCCAGGAGTTTGAGACCAGCCTGGCTAACAGGGTGAAACCCCATCTCTACTAAAAATAGAAAAATTAGCTGGGCGTGGTGGTGCATGTCTGTAATCCCAGCCACTCGGGAGGCTGAGGCACGAGAATCACTTGAACCTGGGAGGTGGAGGTTGCAGTGAGCTGAGATCACGCCACTGCACTCCAGCCTAGGCGACAAAGTGAGACTCCATCTCAAAAAGAAAAAAAAGATAGATAGATGAATGGATAGATAGCTAGATAGATGACAGATGGATGATAGGTAGATAGATAATTGATAAATAGATATAAATGACCGATGGACAGGCAGACATAGATACATTGATTAGGTAGATGATAGATGGATAGATAGAAGATAGATGGTGGATGGGTGGGTAGATAGGCAGATAGACAGTTAGAAAGATAGATGATAGATAGATAGGAAGGAATTTATTAGGGGAATTGGCTCATACCATTGTGGAGGCCAAGATGTACCACAGAAGGCCGTCCGCAAGCTGGAGGCCCAGGAAAGCCAGTATCGTGGCTCAGTCCAAGTCTGCAGGCCTCAGGACTGGGAAGCTGTTGATGTAACTCTTAGTTTAAGGCCAAAGGTTTGAGAGCCTGGGGAACTGCTGGAGAACTGGGAGTTCTAAGTCCAAGGGCAGGAGAGGAAGGCATCCCACCTCCAGGAGAAAGAGGGAATTCACCTTTTCTCTGCCTTTTTGTTGTCTGGCAATGGAATGGTGTCATCCATATTGAGGGAGGATCTTTACCACTCAGCCCACCAACTCACATGCCCATCTCCTCCAGAAACACCCTCACAGACACACCCAGAAGCGATGCGTTACCAGCCATCCCTTAATCCAGCCAAACTGACACCTGCCGTCAGCCACCACACAGGCTCAGAAGAATCGTGGTTGCATGGTGATGGTCTCCATCCCGTCTAAAGAAGTTGAAGATGAACTGTTGGCACAAGCCATCGTTCTTTCAGGCTCCTTCCAGTCGTTCATTCTTTTAAAAATGTATTCATTGAGCACCTGCTGCATGCCAGGTGCTGTGACAAGCACTGGGGCACAGCAGTGAGCAAACAAGGACTCTTGTTTCTTGGAGTTTACATGCAGTAGAAGGAAACAGAATCAATGAATTCATCAGTTCTAGAAACTATCAAAATAGGACTAAGAGCTGTGGTGAGAATTAAGATAAGGTGATTGCATAGAAAGTGACTGATGGCTGCTTTGGAATGAGTGGTGAGGGGTCACAGAGATGATGACAGCTGAGTTGAGATTGGGAAGACAGGAAGGAGCCAGCAGTGCAAGGACTAGGCTGGAAGCAAGCTTGGTGCATTCCAGGAACAGCAAGGAGGCCAGAGGGGCTGCAGTAGAGCAGGCGAGGAGGAGGAGGGAGACGCAGGTCAAAGAGGAGCCTGGGGCCAGATGGAGGACCCTCCCTCCAAAGCTCAGTCATTTCCTCCTTAAAGGAGAATGTGTTACCTCCAAAAGTCACATATGCCAGCACAGTGTCTGGCTCATCATATGCCTTCAGTAGGCGGTGAGCATGGCTGTTCTTGTTATTACTACATCACAATTACTAGGAATAATGGAGTCACCAGGCTTTGCATTTACAGCAATGTGAGGGAGTCAGCAAGCTTCCCTGGGGAACCCATCTCCCCTCACTAAGTTCATAAGAGCCTGATAACCAGGTCAATGTAGTGAGAGCTATAGCTGCCCAGTGTACTGGACTCTTTAGCCACGGGCCAGGACACTTTCATCTCAGCAGAAACCTCTAAGGGGACTGGGGAGTGTGCTGTGGATGTTTCTGGGTTACTCAGACCTCCTGGGGAGCCTTCCCCACCGCAGCTGCTGCAGGGAGCTCAGCTGCAGTGATGAACTGCGGCTCAGCCTTGTTTATGGGAAAACCCTACATGGGAGATGGGACGGTTTCCTGTTGGTTCTCTCGGCCTCAGGTTGCTTTCACAAGTGCAGGGATTCTCACCTGGGTGTGTGAATGGGGCTCAGGATGCCCCAAGGGTATGTGGAGATGGGGGTCAGCTGTCTTCTCTGATGCCTCTGAACCTCCTCCCCCTGCCTTTCTGCATCTCATTGCTTCCTGGCCTCTCTCACTTTGGGTGCTTTGGAACAACATGCAATCCAATACACAGGCTGACTTTATTATTTTGTTTTGTTTTATTTTATTTTATTTTGGAAACAAAGGCTCTGTCATTCAGCCTGGAGTGCAGCGGTGCAATTGCAACTCACTGCAGCCTTGAACTTCTGGGCTCAAGTGATTCTCTCGCCTCAGCCTCTCAAAGTGCTGGGATTACAGGCATGAGCTGCTGTGCCTGGCCTAGGCTGGCTTTAAAAGCTCCTCACTCTCTCTGCATCCTGATGATACCTACCTCCTGGAGCAGGCTCCCAGCCATTGGCTTCGGATACTTTGTAGCTATTATTGGCCAGTTGTGGCATGTGAAGCTGAGGCTCAGGAGAAGGGCAGTCCTGTCCAAGGCCACACGGCTCAGTGCTAACACTCAGACTTCAGTGTTTTTATCTCCCTCCTGGTCGCTTCCACCCTTAGTGCATCTCTGGAGGCCCAAGGGAGCTAAAGGCCAGGCTTTGGTCAGCTAAGAATTTAAAAAAGCTGTCTCTGTGCTCCTCTGTCAATCCATCACTCCATTATCTCCCCCGACAATGAATTC
>NT_187618.1:0-111737 GCF_000001405.40 Homo sapiens
GAATTCCTTAGAGAGAACTTTGCTCCCTACATAAAAAACAAACAAACAAAACCCAAAACAAACATGAATTTCCTTTGGAGACAACGTAGGACAATTCTCTATGGAAGAACTAATATCAGTATGGCTTACAAGGTTACTTGCTTATCCTTTAGGAAAAATAGGCCTCTTATTCCTGTACCTCCCTCTACTCTTTTCCACATTATGGTGCTTAAATGCTCTTGGCTTTCTCCTGCCCACTTAAGGCCTGCCTGCAATTACAAGAGAAACCATTCATACTGGAAATGGTTGCTCTTTGCTGCTCAGAATTAATACTGCCAGGTCTCTTTTTTTTTTAATCTCCCTCTGAACAAAGATGACGAAGAGAGGGGTTACTGATTTGTCCCATTCATGCAACATATGGTTTAACAATCATTTATGGGTTATATTTCTACCTTCAGATCCCAAGCACAGTGCTTCTGTTTTAACAGGTGCAAATAATTTTAATAAGTTATGTGGCCTATGGGAAAAAGGAAGAAAATGAAAGGATACCAGGGAAAAAAAGTAGTTGCAAAATGGGGCAAATTAGCAAAAACAAAAAATGAAAAGTAATCAAGGAAAAAATTGCTAATTGTCCAAGTTTGCTGCTGGCTGACTGAATGCAGTATATTCAGGGAGTACACTTCAGACCCAGAAAAGTCCCTGTGATGACAGGAGGAGTGAAGGGTGTTCTAAACATCAGCCTGATACAAACCAGCTTCTTCTTTCTGTTCCAAGTTTCCAGCTCTTGGCCCACAAGCAAAGTGACATTTGGCCCAGAATCCCCACAGCTGTCAGTTCTAACAGGGGCCAGAGTAATTTTGTCCACTGGTGTGGAATGTTCCGTGAAGTGACCAACAGTACACATTCCAGGCTCTAGGTGACAACAAGCCTTACATTAGGTATTCTGGGAAACAGAAAATTTACCTGCAAATTGGGAGCAGCTTTTAGACAATAGTCATTGTTTGGAGGAATTTATATAAGCAGCAGCTATACGTGAACACAGAGACTGGAAGCTTGTCCAGAACAAGTAACAGAATTGTATCAGATTGTCCTGGAGAAAATTACCCACCTTTGCTGATAAACCCATATCAGTGATTTCAACAGTATTTCTTTATACACATAGCATGTTCTAATAAATATTTAATGCATCTATCAATGAAGAGTCCTTAGTTCATTTTATTAAGTCATGCTCCTTGGTGCCTGCAAGTAGGATGGTAAGATTGGTCTTCTATGTGCCTGAAATAAAGTGATTGTTCTTGGTAAATGATTAGTGTGATATGAGCTACTCTTTTATAATCAAATCATCTCATTATATTTTCCTTTTGAAACTTGAGTTCTTATTGAAGTATAATTCACTGACATATGTCAGATTACCTAGAAAATTTAAGACTAAGATTTGTGTGTAGTTGACTGTCTTCATTTGTTTCTGCTTCCATAATGAAATACCTGAGACTGGGTAATTTACAAAGAACAGAAATTTGTTTCTCACAGTTCTGGAGAATGAGCAGTTCAATATCACGGCATTGGTAAGGTCACTCTCTGGTGAGGGCTTGGTCTCTGCTTCCAAGATGGCATCGTGTTGCTGCATCCATCCTCCAGAAAAAAAAGAATGCTGTGCCGTCACATGGGACCTAGCTAGTTCCCTCCAGCCCTTCTATAAGGTTGTTAAAGCCATTCATGAAGGTGGAAACCTCTCTTAATCACCACCCAAAGGCTTCATCTCTTAATACTATCACATTTGGGATTATGTGTCAAAATCTGAATTTGGGAGGAACACATACAATCAAACGATAGCAGTGACTTTTGGGATTGTGTTAGAGAAAAAGGGCTGCTCATCAGAAGAAGGTGAATTGTGATGAAGTCACATCAGCAGCATTAGTCAATCCCATAAGAATAGCACTGCAGAGACAGCCTGAACTGAGATGAGAGTCTAGGCCTACGTACCAAGTATTAACCAATGGTAGGGTAAAGCCTGTCTTAAAGGAGAATATGCAATCTTAGGAGAAGCAATTCCATTTGGATGAGGGCAATTTCCAGAAAGGGATGCTCCATGTGCCTTTAGAAGCCACCTCTCTCAGTAGCTAAGAAATGAGCATGTCAGTCCTGAGAGCATATCTGGTCAGCCCAGGGAGGCTTACCACAGTCATTGACTACAGTCTACTCCTTACACTCTAATTCCTTACTTGATCATTTAAATTTATTTCTTTTGGAAACAGCTGCTCTAGGATTCCTGTTGATTTTGTTTCTGGGAGGGCTAGTAGGGAACCATATAGTCCCTGTCACTACAAATGGTCATGAGCTTCTAATAAATACTCTTGATCTCCCACCCTACTACCCATTCTAGATTCCCCTAATCTTGTCTAACATCTCTTCTAGTCTAGATAGCTTAGCTTGGTAGGGTGCTCCGAACCCTCATTACAGGCAAACCTCAGAGATATTATGTGTTTGATTCTAGACTAATGCAATAAAGTAAACATCACAATGAAGTGAGTCTCACAAAGTTTTTGATTTCCAAGTGCATATAAAAGTTGTTTACATTATACTATAGTCCATTAAGTGTGCAATAGCACTATGTCTTAAAAAAATCTACCTACTTTAATGAAAAAATACTTTATTGCTAAAAAATGCTACAGAACATCTGGTGGCAGAGTTTTGCCTCCATTTTGAGGGATGCTGATTGATTAGGGTGGTGTTTGCTGGAGGTGACTGGCAATTTCTTAACATAAGACAATGAAGTTTGTCACATTTATTAACTCTTCCTTTCACAAAAAATTTCTCTGTAGCATGCAATGCTCTTTGATAGCATTTGACCCACAAAAAAACTTCTTTCAAAATTGGAGTCAATTTTCTCAAGCTCTGCTACTGCTTTATTGACTAAGTTTACGTAATATTCTAAACCCTTTGTTTGTCATTTCAACAATGTCCATAGCATCTTCACCAGGTAGATTTCATTTCAAGAAACCACTTTCTTTGCTCATTCTTAAGAAGCAACTCTTCATCTATTCAAGTTAAATCATGAGGTTGCAGCAATTTAATAACATCTTCAGGCTTCCCTCCTAATTCTCTTCCTATTTTTCCACATCTGCAGCTACTTCTTCCACTAACATGTTTCTTGTTTTTTCTAACATTGGAAGTTTTGAGTTTTGACTAAGTTTCTTTTAGCACGCCTCTATATTAAAAATTTTCTAATGCTTTTTATCATTATTAAACTGGGGTTATAGTTGGGAAACGAAGATCACAGAGTAAAGTGCCATTTTTATCACATATCAAGGGTACAAACAATATCACTTATGACTATTGATATTGACCATGGTCCTGACTGAAGTAATTTTTGTCAGATGTCTCCACTGTAAAATTATGCTGCCCCCCACACACTTTTCATACTGCAGTCATTGGCAGGAAGTCACTATGTTAGCTCACACTTAAGGAGTGGGATGTTATGCTCCCCCTTTCTTAGGGTGAAACATCTACATAATTTATTTGGAATTCAACATGAGAGATTTATCTCTTCTCCCCCATTTATTAATTTGTTAATTCATTTGTTAATATGAAATCATAAAGATTTATTTTATACTTTAGGTTAAAATCCAACACTACTTTATTTTGATACTCAAACTGTTCCGTCTTTGGACATCAAAAGCTTTTAGTTGACTCCTGTGTCACTTTGATGTACCCTTATTATTGTGGATTATTGTTACTATTGTATTGCTTCCTTATTTTATGGTACTACAAGATTCCCTAGGTTCATCTTAAGTATTTCCTCTTCCAGTCCCCAAATCAGATGTTTCTTTAGGAAACTCTATTTTCTTTAACTGGAGATGAGATAGAAACCAAGATCTAGGTATTAGGTGTGCTCATTGCTATTGGGGTGACATTTTTTAGTTGCTGCCATCTAATAGTAAAAAGCAATACTAACCCACATATATATTAGGGACGCATATTAAGTTAAACATGGTTTCTTACTGATGTCTCCCATTCTAATCTGATACCACATAGATCATGTTAGTCATTTTCTTTGTTGTTTATTTACAAATTTCTACTCAAACATTAAGAATATAGTTCCCATCATATGCCATCCATTTACTTAATTGTTCAGTTATAGTATACATGTATTGTAGCACATTTTTTGACCTTTATCCTCATGAGAAACAATTTTGCCAACTATTGCTTATTGTGGCATTCATTTTGCCTTTAATGTTGCAGATTCCATTTATCTCCAAAATCACTTAGACTGGTACCTCTTCTCATATCCCTTTCAGTGAGATTGTTTTATACGTTGGTGTACATTGGTCAGCTTATCTTGTCACAAACGGCATTCTTTCCCAGGGTCCTTGACCTTCTAAGTTTTTTCTTTTTAATTTGTAAATATTAAGATTAACTATTTTCCTAGGGATGAAGCCAACTTGATCATAGTGGATAAGCTTTTTCACGTGCTTCTGGATTCAGTTTGCCAGTATTTTATTGAGGATTTTTACATCAATGTTCATCAAGGATGTTGGCCTGAAGTTTTCTTTCTTTGTAATATCTCTGCCAGGTTTTGCTATCAGGATGATGCTGGCTTAATAGAATGAGTTAGAGAGGAGTCCTTCTTTTTCAATTTTTTGGAATAGTTTCAGTAGAAATGGTACCAGCTCTTCTTTCTACCTCTGGTAGAATTCAGCTGTTAATTGTCTGATCCTGGGCTTTTTTTGGTTGTTAGGCTATTTATTACTACCTTAATATCAGAACTCATTATTGGTCTATGCAAGAATTCAATTTCTCACTGGTTCAGTCTTGGGAGGGTGTATATGTTCAGGAATTTATCCATTTTTTCTACATTTTCTAGTTTATGTGCATAGAGGTGTTTATACTATTCTCTCATGGTTGTTTGTATTTCTGTGGGATCAGTGGTGATATCCCCCTTATCATTTCTGATTGTGTTTATTTGATTCTCTCTTTTCTCTGTTAGTCTAACTAGCATTCTATCTATTTTACTAATTTTTTCAAAAAAAAAAAATCCAGCTCCTGGATTTGTTGATATTTTGAAGGGTTTTGTGTGTCTCTATCTCTGTCAGTTCATCTCTGATTTTGGTTATTTCTTCTCTTCTGCTAGGTTTGGGCTTTGTTTTCTCTTGTTTCTCTAGTTCTTTTAGATCATGTTAGATTGTTAGGTTGTTAACTTGAGATATTTCTAGTTTTTTGATGTAAACATTTAGTGCAATAAATTTCCCTCTTACACAGCTTTAGTTGCATCTCAGAGATTCTGGTACATTATCTCCTTGTTCTCATTAGTTTCAAATAATTTATTGATTTCTGCCTTAATTTCATTATTTACCCAAGAGTCATTCAGGAGGAGGTTGTTTAATTTCCACATAGTCATGTGGTTTTGAGTGAATTTCTTAATCTTTAGTTCTAATTTGATTATGCTGTGGTCTGAGATACTGTTTGTCATGATTTCACTTCTTTTGGATTCACTGAGGGGTATTTTATTTCCAATTATCTGATCGATTTTAGAGTAAGTGCCAGGATGCAAAGGTGGTTCAACATAAAAATGTGATTCATCACATAAACATAACTAAAGTCAAAAAAACACATGATTATATCAATAGATGCAGAAAAGGCCTTCAATATAATTCAACATTTCTTCATGTTAAAAACTCTCAATAAACTAGGTATTGAAGGAACTTACCTCAAAATAATATGAGCCATCTATGACAAACCCACAGCCAATACCATACTAAATAGACAAAAGCTTGGAAACATTCTCCGTGAAAACCAGCACAAGGAAAGGATGCCCTTTCTCATTACTCCTATTTAACAGAGTATTGGAAGATCTTGCCAGGGCAATTAGGAAAGAGAAAGAAATAAGGGGTATTCAAATGGGCAGAGAGGAAGTCAAATTATTTTTGTTTGCAGGTGACATGGTCCTATATCAAGAAAATCCCATTGTCTCAGCTTCAGTTTCTTAATCTGATAAGCAACTGCAGCAAAGTCTCAGGATACAAAATGAATGTGCAAAAATTGCTAGCATTCCTAAATACAAACAACAGGCAAGCTGAGAGCCAAACCATGAATGAACTCCCATTCACAATTGCTACAAGGAGAACAAAATACCTAGGAATACAGGTAACAAGGGATATGAAGGAACACTTAAAGGAGAACTACCAACCACTGCTCAAGGAAATCAGAGAGAACACAAACAAATGGAAAAACATTCTACGCTCATAGACAGAAAAAATTAATATCGTGAAAGTGGCCATACTGCCCGAAGTAATTTATATGTTCAATGCTATTCCCATTAAACTAACATTGACATCCTTCACAGAATCAGAAAAAAAAACTATTTTAAAATTTATATGAAACCAAAGAATGCTCATATAGCCAAGACAATACTAAGCAAAATGAACAAGCCGGAGACATCACGCAACCCAACTTCAAACTATACTACAAGCCTACAGTAACAAAAACAGCATGGTACCATTACAAGAACAGACATATAGACTAATGGAACACAATCAAGAACTCAGAAATAAGACTGCACATCTACAACCATCACATCTTTAACAAACCCGACAAAAACAAGCAATGGAAAAAGGATTCCCTATTTAACAAATGATGCTAGAACTGGCTATCCATATGCAGAAAATTAAAATTGGACCCCTTCCTTCTACCATATACAAAAATTAGCTCAATATGGATTAAACACTTCAATGTGAAACCCAAAACTATAAAAACCCTAGAAGAAAATCTACGCAATACCATTTAGGACATAGGCACAAGGGAAAATTTCAAAATGAAAATGCCAAAAGCAATTGCAACAAAAGCAAAAAATGACCAATGAGATCTAACTAAACTAAAGAGCTTCTACACAGCCAAAGAAACTATCATCAGAGTCAACAGACAACCTATAGAATGGGAGAAAATTTTTGAAATCTACCCATCTGATAAGGGAACTTAAACAAAATCTACAAGGAATTTAAACAAAAATAAGAAAGAAACAAATGATCCCATTAAAAAGTGGGCAGAGAACATGAACAGTCACTTCTCAAAAGAAAAGATATATGTGGCCAACAGACATAGGAAGAAAAGCTCAACATCACTGATTATTAGAAAAATGCAAATTAAAACCACAATGAGATACCATCTCAGTCCAGTTATAATGGCTATTATTAAAAAGTAGGCCAGGTGTGGTGGCTAATGCTGTAATCCCAGCGCTATGGGAGGTTGAGGCAAGTGGATCATGAGGTCAGGAGCTCGAGACCATCCTGGCTAATATGGTGAAACCCTGTCTCTACTAAAAATAAAAAAATTAGCTGGGCATGGTGGTGCGTGCCTGAAGTCCCACCTACTCAGGAGGCTGAGGCAGGAGAATCGCTTGAACCCAGGAGGTGGAGGTTGCAGTGAGCCGGGATAGTGCCACTGCACTCCAGTCTGGGGAGAGAGCAAGACTTCATCAAAAAAAAAAAAAAAAAAAAAGTCAAAAAAACACAGATGCTGGTGAGGTTGCAGTGAAAAACGAAGGCTTTTACATTGTTGGTGGGAGTGTAAATTAGTTCAACTATTGTGGAAGACAGTGTGACAATTCATCAAAGACCTAGAGGCAGAAATACCATTTGTCCCAGAAATCTCATTCCTGGGTATATACCCAGAAGAATATAAATCATTGTATTATAAAGACACATGCATATGTATGTTCATTGCAGCACTATTCATAATAGCAAAGACATGGAATCAATCTAAATGTCCATCAGCAATAAAGTGCATAAAGAAAATGCGGTATATATCTACCATGAAATACTATGCAGCCACAAAAAGGAATAAGATCATGTCGTTTGCAGAGACAATGGATGGAGTCCATGTGGAAGTCATTATTCTCAGCAAACAAATGCAGGAACAGACAACCTAACACCACATATTCTCACTTGTAAGTGGGAGATGAATGATGAGAACACATGGACATAAGCAGGGAATAACACACACTGGGGCCTGTCAGAGGGGTGGGGGTGGGTGAGGAAGAACATCAAGAATAATAGCTAACGTATGCTGGGCTTATTACATAGATTATGCGATGATCTGTGCAGAAAACCACCGTGGAACATGTTTACATATGTAACAAACCTGCATATCCTACACATGTACCCCTGAGCTTAAGATAGAAGTTGAAGAAAAAAAAAAGATTAACTGTGTTGTGCAGTACTATAGGTTTTGACAAATACAAAATATTATGTATCCATGATTACAATATCACACAGAATAGATTCACTGCTCTAAAATTTCCCTGTGATTCTATATCTGTAGCTTCTTCTCCTCCTGAACCCCCGACACATATAAATCTTTATAGTACAAATTTATCTTTATCTATTTTTTCTTTTTTTTTTTTTTTGCTAGATAACAGTTCATTGTATGAATGTAACGTAATTTGTTTACTAATCATCTATTAAGTGACATCTTGGATGTTTTCAGTTTTATTCAATTATGAATAAAGCTGCCATAACCATTCATGTATAAGTTTTTTTTTTGTGGACATACTTTTCAACTAAACTGAATAAATATCTAAGAGCACAACAACTGAATCACATGGTAAAATTATATTTAGATTTATAAGAAATTGCCAAATATTTTTCCAAAGTGGCTGCATCATTTTTCATTTTCACCAGCAGTGAAAAGAATGAGAATTGCTCTTGGTCAGCAACTTTGCCAGGATTTGGTATTGTTTTTTTGGAATTTTACCCATTCTGATAGTTGTGTAGTTGCATCTTGTTTTTCTATTACTTGAAATTCCTTAAGGACATATAATGGTGAATATTTTTATATGCTTATTTCTCATCAGTATATCTTCGTTTATTGTCACTAACTTTGGACAGAGAATGTCCATATATTTTATATGGTGAGGTATCTGTTCAAATCTTTTGCCCATTTAGAAAATTGCATTATTTTCTTAAGGCTGAGTTTTAGAATTTTTAAAATATTTTAGATACAAGCACTTCATCAGATATATGTTTTGCAAATATTTCCTCCCAAATGGTTCATTGCTGTTATATGGGAAAGCAATTCTCTTGTATATTAATCTAATCTTGTGAACTTTGTTAAAAATCACTTATTCGTTCTAGGAGATTTTTATTAATTCAATGAAATTTTACTGCATAGATAATCATGCCTCATGGAAACAAATATATTTATTCTTTTTAACATATATACTTTTAACTAACTTTTCTTGTCTTATTGCACTAGCTAGGACTTCCAGTACAATGTTGAATAGAAGCAGTAAAAGTAAACATTCTTACCTAACTCATAAACTTAAGGTATATGTAGTTTTTGCCATCAAATATAATGCTAGCAGTAGATTTTTTGCAGATATTCTTTACCAAGTTGAGAAAGTTTCTTCTAATCCTAGTTTGCCAAGAGTTTTTATTATGAATGATGCTGAATTTGGTCAAATTATTTTTCTGCATCAATTGAAATGCTCATATAATTTTTCTTTTATAGCATTCTGATTTATTAAATTAAGTGCCTTTAAAATGTTGAACTAGTCTTGCTTGGAGCAAATTTTACTTGGTCATTGTGTATAATTCTTTTTGTACATTGTTGGTATAATTTGTTAATATTGTGTTGATAATTTATTCATCTCTGTTCAGGAGAAATATTGCTTTGTAGATTTTCTTTCTTGAAAGGTATTTATTGGGTTTTGATATCAAGTTTTCGTAAGGGTGACCTCATGGAATGAGTTAAAACATGTTTTATCTGCTTTTATTCTCTGCAATAGAAGAGAATATAGATAATTGATATCACTTCCCTAAAATATTTGTTAGATTTCACCAGTGAAACAATATGAGCTTGATGTCTCGTTTGGAAGGCTATTAATTATGATTTTTTAAATTAATATATACTTACTCAATTAAATTAATATATACTTATTCAGTTTTTTAAGTTTTGGTAGTTTATGTCTTTCAAGTAATTGGTCCATTTCATCTAGGTTATCACATTTGTAGGTGTAAGGCTCAGCTGTTCTCAGTATTCTTTAATTATACTTTTAATGCCTGTGAGATCAATAGCCATGACACCACTTTCATTTATCAATTTCGTTGATCTTTTATTTTATTGATATTATGATCATTTTTCAAAATAAAAAGCTTTTGTTTCATTATTTTCTCTATGGATATCTTGTTCTATTTTCATTGATTTCTTTTCTATTTTTTATTATTGCTGATTTTCTGCTTCCTTTAGGATTAAATTACTTCTATTTCTATAGTTTCCTAGGGCAGAAACAGATTATTGATTTTACAGCTTTCTTCTATTCTAATTCTATGCCATAAATTTCTCTCTAAGCACTGCTTTTACACCATTCCACAAATTGATAAGCTGTACTTTCATTTTTGTTTACTTCAAAATACATTTAAATTAATTTCGAGCCATTTTATTTTTGTGTTATTTGGAAATATGTTGTTTAATCCCTAAATATTTTGAACTTTCCACCTTTCTTTATGTTATTGATTTCTAGTTCAATTCCATTGCAGTCTGAGAACACAGCTTGTGTAACTTATATTCCTTTAAATGTGTTTAGGTGTAAGGATTTCCTCCCCCAGAATATAGTCTATACTGATGAATCTTACATGTGAGCTTCAGAAAAATGTGTATTTTGCTGTTGTTGGATAAAGTAGTCTGCAAATTTCAGTTAGATCCAATTAATTAATGGTGGTATATCATTACTGATTATTTGCCTGCTATGTCTATCAGTAACTTAACAAAGAGGTGCAGGAAGTTTTGTGGTTTTTGTTTTATTTGTTTGTTTGTTTTTTGGACACAGGTCTGTAGGCAGTAATTCAAGACTACTAGGTAGAATTTCTGGAATTGTAATGCCAGGATATATGTATTTTTCCTTCTTCTTTTTTTTTTTTTTTTTTTTTTTTTTGGAAACGGAGTCTTGCTCTGTAGCCCAGGCTGGAATGCAGTGGTGCGATCGCGGCTCACAACAGCCTCCACCTCCCAGGTTCTGGTTCAAGCAATTCTCCTCCCTCAGCCTCCCGAGTAGCTGGGATTACAAGCCTGTGCCACCATGCCCAGCTAATTTTTGTATTTTTAGTAGAGATGGGGTTTCACCATATTGGCCAGGCTGGTCTCAAACTCCTGATCTCGTGATCCACTCACCTTGGCCTCCCAAAATGCTGAGATTACAGGTGTGAGCCACCGCACCCGGCCAGGATATGTGTATTTTTAAAGCACCATGAGTGGTTTTCTTGTGGATAGTGCAGTTAGAGTAGTCAAGGACTACCTCCATGAGAATTAATTTGATACATTTTCTCCCAAAAGTGAAAATGAATTTAGTTTTATAAGTGGTGAAATTTTTATATCAGACCTGTCAAACACCAAAATTTCAACAAATTTAGTTTAAGATTAATTGACTTTTATTAGTGATTCATGAACTGGGCAGCACCACATCTATGAAATAGAACAGGTACTCTCATGAGCTGAGCAGAAGAGCTGAGTCCTATAGACAGAAAAGGCTGAGCAAAGCAGAAACAACGAACAAAAACCGAATTGGTATTTCAAACTTTCTTTCCTTTTAAAGTTACAACAGAGGGAACTTCCTTATCATGCCAGCTTGAGTACACTGGGCTTCTTTCTATCGGCTTCTGTAAATTTTCTGTTTCTTAGAAAATTAGTCCATCTTAAAGTTCAGTTTAATTACATGACACCTAGCACAAGTGACACCATTCTGACTTGGTCTGGTCTGTTGGGATTAAGTGCATAAAGTCAGTCCAAAACAAAGGCTTCCAGTAAGTTTTATTTAACAGAGCATAAGGCATTCTTTGGAAGGCTTCCTTTTAGAAAGTACAGTGCTTTGGGACCATGGGCTGCTGAAGAACACATTTAGATAGATATGTTTATTACCAGACCTAAACATTCCATGTGTTACCTTGACAGCTTTGGGTTTCATGGAGCTATAGACATCTAGTCATGAGTTTCCCTGCTCTTGCCAGATCATTCCCAAACATTGGGAAAAGTTATCCACTCAACTATCAGGTGGACTAGCTGCCCCATTCCTCTGGTTACTACAAAGCCTGCCTACCATAGCCCCTGCTGGTTCACTGTATTTCTAAATAAATAACCCTGCCAATGTGACCCTGTATGGAGTGTAGTGTTCCCCTCCCCAAGTCTGTGAGGATCTGTGACTAATAAACGGCTGCAAATCTTATCTGTCCAGTTTTGGGTGTCACATATTTAGCTATCTCACACTATTTAGGGTGAGATATCCCTCTTTTCCCAGTGGGTAAGTAGGAGGTAATCAGAATAATATGGAGTATCTAAAAGGAAGGGGAATGAAGCAGGAACAAGAAAGGAGAATATTAAAGAAGAACTATAGAGAAACTGCATAAAAACAAAAAAGTATCTAGTCCTTTAGGCAATAATAGAATTAATTTGAAAACTAAATTAAAAAACTGGCACAACTGAGGAAAAAATACTATTTTCTATAAATTGCATGCTTTTATTATAAAATTTGAATATAAATAACATTTTTATAACAATTTTAATACATCAATAAGCATTTTCTTAAATGAAATATTTTAAGAAAGATAGAGATGTCAATTTTTATAGGAACATCATAGACTTTCTAAAGATGTTGTAACTTCAATATTCACCCTTATCTTTAGAAATATGGAATCAGAACTGTGAGCAGTTTTTCCTGCTTGTTCTGTTGAATTTCCCTTAAACCAACAATCACCAAAGGTATGCCAGTGTGAATAGAAGTACTTCTCTAAAATGAAACCAATAGGGGGCTTGTTCCAAGAAATGCTTTACTAGGTAAGCAGGCTAAATGTGCTGAGCAGCAGTTTGGAGGCACTCTGCTATGTTTCCTTTTTATTTATTTTTATTTGTTTTTGTTTTCAGAAAACACAGTCTCTGAAGTCCAGGCTAGTGATAATTATTCAGATCCTCTCAAAAGCACAGTTGCTTTACCCAAAGGCACTGCCTTTGCAGAATTGAAGTCTTTGCACTGAAGTACTCTTGGTATAAATTCCTTCTTTAGATTAAAAAATAAAAAGGCAAATATTAAATTTATTATGACTTCTGTTTGATAAAAAATGAAGAACTTTATACCAGTTAAAAGATTCCATAGTCTATTATTTTTTATAATGCTCACCCTCATTTTAATGTAAGATGTCAGCTTATACCTTCTTTGAATAAGAGAAGGAAGAAAGTGAGAAACGTAAGCAATAATGAAACTCTTCTAAGGAAATGAGAGTATGATGAGGCTTATACTAGATGTCATAATTTTTTGATACCTTTCCTAAAACTCTCTTTTATTCATTCCCATTCCTCTGAAGCAACCTATTATTTTGTTCTCCTATAATGTTTTATTTAAAGCTCCTCTAAAAACATGTATTAGATTGAAACACAGTGAATTATCCATGTGGTGTTTTTTTCTGATTTTATACTTACCCATCTTTATATCTCTAGCATGGTGGCAGGTTTTAAGTAGATATTCAAAAATATTTATTGAATTTTATTGACTGTGCTGTTTGCATTGTTAATTACTGCCAGTGGTGTTCAGGGTCTTTTGTCTCTTTCTTGTTTTCCACTAAACACAAGTGGCAGTCATTAGCATCTTCAACTACAGCCCCACTCAAAGATCACAGGACCAACAAGAGCAACACTACAGGAAAAAAAAAACTATTTGGCTCAAGAGGAAGTCATCTCTAATCTAAAAGGGAAAGAAGAAAAGACCCTTGTCATTTAAATGATCATGATGTTAACTGGTTCAGAGCCTCAGTTCCCTCTTGGGTTTAGAACATGTTCTCAACTTGGCCCTTGACTTTCATCTGACTTTTAGAATGCCTGAACACAAACTGACCTTATTACCCATCCTTTTTTTTTTGTGCCACACTCACCCTGCAAGTCCAATTAGGTATGTTTCACTTTGCCAAGCCACTCTCTGGGCTGAGAATGAAGATTCCAAAACAATAAAATAAGAGATGTGTTGTTGGATTGAGCCTTCTTTGTCAAAACCAGCAGCCATATCACTTCCCAGCAGTCTTGCTTTTCAACTCTTTTCCTCCTGTTTCATTTAACTATGTCAGTACTCAGTAATGTCTTACTGAGTCCTATTACCACTTTGCTTAATTCCCCAATTTTCTCTTCCCTAATTGTGCCTAGACATGCTTTGCATTCAGTCACTCTTTAGTTCATGGGACCCTATTTTCAGCAAAGAAAAGTCTTTAAATCTGGGAAGAGGCCTTGAGGGGCTGTGGTCATTGAATTCACTTAGCCCAGTCAAATCTAAAATGAATCTCTTAGAAACAGAAATGGGAGCAGAGCAAGCATGACATGGAGGAAAAGAGGACATGGAGATGTTAGTGAAATTTCATATATAGGTGCCATAGACAAGTTCTACCTAATGGTTTCCATCTGAATCCCTCCATTAAAGTTTTACTCCTCAGCCTTACAAAGCTTTTCCACCTAGTAAAATACTGTTTACACAAATTTTGATCAGCTACATCTCAATGTGAATGTCTTTAGCACAGTATTTCCCCAAAGCACATTTTAATAGTGGAGAGGGACTATTTCTCACAGGTAGCTGCATACCTGAGGTATCTGGGGAGGATTCCCCAGAGATGAGATAAGTAGAGCAGAAAGGAATAGCAGGGAACTCTGGAAAATAAAACTTAAGGTTTTCAGGAAGAATTGCCTTGCATTTTCATGTTGCTTAATCTCCCTATCTTGGACCTGTATGGAAACAATAGCAATGTCTACGATCAAAAAGGTTAATTTACTCTAAGTAAATTATTTATAATAATGGAAAAGGTTTTTGGAAATTACCATGCAATTCTTAAGAATGCTAGAGTTTCCTACTGATTATCCTACCTGAGGAAGCATACTCTAGGCAGTTGGTATTTTAAGCAGCCAGTGCTTTCCAAAAGACACAAAATGTCATTGTCTTAGTTCTGTGTTGCTCTCCACAAATAACTAACTTAGACCTGGTACTCTTATCCTCCACTTAATCATTCTTTGTAGATTGGCTGCCCTTCACTGAGGTCTTTCTTGTTCAATCTATCAAAGGTTTTTTTAATATGTATATATATTTGTGTGTGTGTGTGTGTGTTTTACCTTAGAGTTCAGCACTTTTTTGATTTACTAAACCTTCACAGGAATTTTTAACTCAAATTTATTAACCCTAGAAGTAAGCATTTATTTTTTTTCTTCATCTAATAAAAAACTCCCCTAAATCAATATCTAAATGACTCATACATTCTTTTACCATGATCGGTCACTAAGGTTTTTTGTGTTCCCCCTTCTACGATTTAACTGATTCTTATTCTTTGACATTTTCGAAGCAAGAACAGCCTTTTTGAATTCATTAGCAGGGTCCTTAGCTGGATTCTTGCCCCCTGTGAATTCAGGCCCTTCACAGTTCAACTTTCTCCAGCATGTAATTGCAAGTTCTACATCGCGCCCCTCTGATTATTACTTTTAAAAATTGCCTCTGTTGATTACCTGCCTTCTTTCAGTGAGGCCCTGTGAGAGTCCTCTAATTTTTGAAGCTTTGCTGGATTCCAGTTCACCATCAGGATAGAAGGAAATGAGAACATTTTTGTTCCTTGCTATAAGGAAGTAGCTTAAAGCAATCTCTCTCCAAATGTCCTTCTGCCTCTCATTTCCCACCTGCACCCCAACACACAGGCACCAGGAAATCTCAGCAGGACAGCCAAGTGCTTCATGCAGAAGCAATTAGACAAGGTTATAAGATTCTCTTCACCTTCTCCTCCATGTTCCCCGCAGCTTATGCAGCCTTCGGGGTAAGCAGGAAGCAGTAGAGAATCCACCAAGCTCACAGAACCTCTCCCAGCAAGCAAATCATTTCAATGTATCACATTTAAAGTAATTCACCAGTTAGAATTCAGGCCTGCCAACATACCGAATCTTTCTCCCTATGTTGTTCAATACATAACACTTAATAGACACTTTACCTATAAACTCCTACTTTGGGAGGGGGTGTGTTTTAGGCTCCAAATGACTGGGAGTTAATTCTTCATCGAAAAATTAATGGAATTGCAGTGAGACAACCTTATTTTTGCAAAAAAAAAAAAAAACCTTGTAATATTAATATTATATTGAGTCAATCTTATTTACTTATAAACTAAGTTTGAGCACCAGTTTGCAATTTGTCCAGCAGGGTGGTCTATTTAGTACTGACAAATGGCTACAAAGAATAACTAAGAAATTTAGAATGTGATGCCATAATTTCTCCTGGGACATCCACATCAGCAGTCTTTAAACTGCAAGAAAGTTAAGAAAATTAAAAAAAAAGAGGAAGAAGAAGAAGAAGAGAAAGTCTGGCAGTTAGCAGCTAGAAGCTGAGAGCCAAAGAAGCCAGGCTGGGCTGTTAGCAACTGAACATGAACCAAAAACACAAAACGAAACTTTCACAGACAAACCCACTGTGTGACCTTGGAGGAACGTAACAGTGACCCAGAGACTCTATGATGAAACTAGCTGGAAAAGACACCATGGACCCACAAAAATATGTATCTCCTCTTCCAGCCAACATGAATGATCACTATTTGTTCACCAGTAACAGCTCTAATTTCACATTAATCCTCTCACCTCTAGCTAAAAGTTACAAAGATACCCTATCACAACATTACCCCTGCTTCCTGACAGCCTGCAATTCCGAAATGGCCACTGCTTTCTGTACAACCTCCTTAAAATCATCTTGTACATATTCGAGTTCCATAATAACCTATTCATAACTCTCTTTTACCAAGATGCTGTTTGTTTCCTCTTATGTATATTCTTCTTTGCTGCTGGAAGCTAAATAAACCCAACTTTGTTTGAGTGCAGGCCTGCATCTAGAGGTCATTGGCAGATGTGTTTAAAAATGTTAACACTTGTTATAAACTGAATACTTTTGTACTTCCAATAATTCATATGCTGAAACTATACCCTCTACTGTAACAGTGTTAGAAGGTGGGGTCTTTGGGAGGTAATAAGGATTAGATGAGGTCATGAGAATTGAGCCCTCATGAATGGAATTTTTGTCCTTACAGCAATCCCAGGAGAGCTTGCTTTCTCTCTCTGCCATTTGAGGACACGAGTAGGAGACAAGCATCTAAGAACCAGGAGAGTATTAGGCCATTCTTGCATTGCTATAAAGAAATACCTGAGACTGTGTAATTTATTTTTTAAAGAAGAGGTTTAATTGGCTCATGTTTTTTCAGGCTATGCAGCAAGCATGGCACTGGCATCTGCCCAGCTCCTGGGGACCCTTAAGGAACTTTGACTCATGTCAGAAGGTGAAGTGGGAACAGGCACTTCACATGCCAAAAGCAGGAGCAAAGAGGAGCTGTGGAAGGTGCCATATACTTTTAAATTGACAGATCTCATGTGGACTCAGAGGGAGAGCTCACTTATCACCAAGGGTATGGCCCAAGCCATTCACGAGAAATCCACTCCCATGATCTCTACACCTCCCACCAGGCCACACTTCCGACATTGGGGATTACATTTCAACATGAGATTTGGGTGGGGACAAATATACAAACTATATCAATGCCAGACATTAAATCTACTTGCCTCCTGATCTTGGACTCCTCAGCCTCCAGAACTGACTGTGAGGAATATATTGGATTGTTTATAAGCCATCCAGTTTATGATATTTTGTTATAGCAGCCTAAGTGGAATAAGACAGCACTTTTTACAGATGATTAACTATAAGGACTTTATCTATATATTCTAAAAATATTTTTAAATTGAATTCATTAATTTTTTCCAAATTAGTACAGTTTGACCACTGTAGGAAATTTGGAAAACACATAATTACATTTTTAAAAAACATCTTTTTTAGCCATGCCATTATCCACACTGGTACTACTTTTACAGATATTAATGCTACCACCATCACTTATTGATACTTATAGAGTATCAGTGACATAAATAAACAAGTTATATGCAATAATGTAGTAAGATAGAGTTTTTAATCCTTATTTCACAGATTAGGAATCTGCAACTGAGAAAGTTCACAAACCTAGTAAGTGGCAGAGCTAGTATTTAATCCCCTCTGTATTTTAAGAACAATTTTTTACATGAGTTCACTTTGTCTTATCTACTTTCTTAAAGTTTCTAACTCCAAATACAGTCATATTTTAAAATACTAGGGGTTAGGAGTTTAACATGTGAATTTAGAGGGACACAATTCAGCTCATAATATTAATACATGGTCTCATTTTCTTCCTTTCTTTTAAAATATATGAAAACTTTGGATTATGTTGCATATATTGTAGAGTTCTTTTTATATACAATTATCATGAGTATTTATAACTTTAAATATTTTATAAATATAATTTTTAATGCCATTAAATTATTTCTTAATGTAGACACCTATATATGTTATCTCATAGTCTCTTGGGATAATAAATTGCTAAAGTATTCTATCTATTTAGAGAACAGTCTTGCTTTTTATTTAAAATTTTATTAAAGAGTGAACCTCACAGGGGTGCTGGCTCCAAGGGACTCCTTTATAACATCATAGAACTTACTAAAAAATATCTCACATATAGTTAACAATATTGGTCTTGATTCAAAATATATTTAAATTTACTCTATCAAAACCTTTCAATATTTGATAAACACACATAAGAGATTAAAAAGCTTGTTATATCTAAGTCAGCCTAAGGAATTACTAGTTTACAAACCTCGTGCTACAAAAAGAAAATTGAAACACTGTTAAGAGAAATTACTTGCTAAGTTCTGTTGTAGGTAGACTCAACATTTAAACCAGGCTTCTGTACTTCACATAACCATTTCTCAGAGCTTTTGATTTTTAGTGGAAATACTGGAAGGGTTTTTTAAATTGAGTATCATTGAAATTCACTGACATACTCTTTTTTTTTTTTTTTTTTGGAAATGTTGTAAGTAGGGTCATCATATAATGTAGAGTCTAAACCAGGACTCTCTCTCTTTTCCTTTTTTTAATGTGCTTTTTAACAGCCACAACCAGATATAGGTGTAAATCAGAATGGAATCAGGCAAATCAGGACTTATTTTCAACATACTCATAAGCAAAAATGTCAATAGTGCTCAAGGGACTATGAGGTCAAATCATAAGCATGGAGTCCAAATATGCGATTGCTAACCACCAATATTTTTATCTTATCTTTTCCAAAAGGTAGGCAAAAATGTTCAAATACTATACTAATGGGCGAAAGGGTACATGATCAAAATAGGTTTAAATAATGAGTGAAGCACAGTACAACTTATCATGAAATATAAAGTGCAGTTTTTAAAAAATCCACACACACATATAATTATATATGTATACATACATATAGGTACAATTTATTTATACAAATAAAATGTAGAAATAATAATTTACTTTTTTTGTAATTTAGCAAAAACAAAAAAAAAAATGAAGCAATGTCAACCAAAAAAGTAAAGTAAAGAACTTCAAATTCTTCCCTTCCATTAAAAAAATATTAAAAAGTAGATAAAAACTGTTGGAATCAATTTTCTTTGTTGTTGTTGAAATTCTAGGTATTACCCAAAGGCTTGTGAAAGCTTTGTTGGGAACTCTTATTCAAGAAAAACTAGGGACCATTTATTGAAGGAAAAAAATAGCTGATTCTTGGTAATAATAGCAAACTCTGTGGCATTTTAAATTGCCCCTAGCCATTGTTTACTCCCAAGCTTGGTACCCATGAAAATAACAGGCTGAGGATGGGCATGGTAGCTTATGCCTGTACTTCCAGCACTTTGCAAGGCTGAGGTGGGAGGATTGCTTGAACCAAGGAGTTTGAGACCAGCCAAGGCAACAGAGAGAGACCTTGTCTCTTCCAAAAATTAGAAAATTGGCTGGGTGTGGTGACACACACTTGTAGCTTTGGCTATGTGGGAGGCTAAAGTGGGAGGATTGCTTGAGCCTGGGAGATAGAGGCTACTGTGAGCCATGATCAAACCACCACACTCCCACCTGGGCAACAGAGTGAGAGCCTGGAGGAGGAGCAGAAGGAGGAGGAGGAGAAAACAGGCTATATTCCAGTACCAAAATGTATAAAAGAGGAATTACTTGTAAAAAACTGTAATTAGTTATTTGATTTGACCTGTTCCCAGTTGCTTGCTGAAAGAACAGTTTAAAAGGCTTGTGCTTATTTGAACAAACTTTAAGCTAGTTTAGTACTAAAGCTGCTTCCCTGGTGGTATGGCGAAAATATTTATAAACTAATATCTTAGGTTGCCACTGCCTGAGGTACTAGATAGCAACTGGAACAGATAATAAGCTAACCAAAAAGCTTGAGAAGAAAGGCTCAGGAACGAAATGTTGTTAAGGGTTTTGAAAAACCCCAAGATATTCCTGGAATCTAAAATCCCACCTACATGTTCAGGGCTGTATGTGTGTTCAGGAAAGATATAAGAAGACTTTACTAAGATCTCATCTCCTGCTGAACCTGAAGCTTAATGAAAGCAGGAAGTGAAGGCTAAGGCAAAGTTGTTAACTGCCTTGATAAATGTGGAAAATGTGCCCCAAATAGACACAGAATCCCTCAGCAGAGACTAGGAGATTTTTTGGTTCTAGTCACTTAAAGAAAAAATGACCATTAGCTGATCATGAAGAAAACATAACAGAAACTGCAGGAGACATTTATAAGAAATAATACAGACTTTATGGACTAAGTTCACGATAGTACCAAAGAAGCCAACAATAAGTATAATAGAATGAACAACAAATCTTGACAAATCCCCAGGAAGGAGATAGAATCTGATTTCTAAAGTTGGTGCATTGTAATAGTCAAGTGTCCAGTTTACAGAAACAAAAAGTATGGCAATAGGCAGAAAACAAAATACATGATATGAACTATGCCTGAGAAAGCTCAGGTTTACTAAGAATTTCTAGGATTGCCATTCAAGATCTACAATTTTAATAACTTTATTGCATGATTCTAGGTTTAGATCACATTGGTACCTAACTATATTAGCAGTTTTTTTTTTCAAATTTAATTTTAGGTTTGAGGGTTCTTGTGCAGGTTTGTTATACAGGTAAATTCCATGTCCTGGGGGTTTGGTGCACAGATTATATCACCACTCAGGTAGTAAGCATAGTACACATTTGCTGGTGTTCATTGACATAAAGTATTTCTAAATGATCAAATTATAGAATTCCATAATTTTAAATGGCCTCAGTGGCCGTAAAGTTAAACTTATCTTGACTGAATGTTTATAGTAATAAGAAAAAGGGCTCATTACTCACACCAGTTACAATGGGAATCTCATAAGATTTTGTATTTCTAAAGATTGAAGAATTTCACATATATACTCATTTTTTGAGGAATGTAAAATTAATATAACTATGTTCATTCTCCAGTTACAGAAAGTTATTTTCATAAAGGTTAAACATAGAGTCACTTGTCTAGTTAGCGACATTACTAAGATTAAAAGAAAAATATACCATTTTGTTTCATTTATAAACATACAACACACATACACATGTACATCTATACAAATCATGTGCATAGAAAAGATATTCACCAAGGTCATCTTGGTGAATAAAACATTATTTTGGAGCAGTTTATTTTTGTGTGATTTTAATTTATTTAAAACCACCAAGAAATTCCAATATGTCCTTTATCCATTTTCACTAATTGTCTATATTTTGCTCCATTTGCCTTACTTTCTCTTTCTTCTTCATATATATTAAATATGTGCATATATGTGTATGTCTCTCTCAGCTTAAACAATTTCCTTTAGCATTTATTATAATGCAATTCTATGAGCAATTAATTACCTCAGTTTTTGTTTACTGAAAATATTTTTACTTGACACTCATTTTTGAAGGACATTTTTGCTGGTTATAGTATTCTGGGTTGACGGAATTTATGTCTCTTTCTTCATGTAATCTCATTTTTTCTTGATTTTCAGAGTTAGTTATAAATAGTAAGTTATACATATTGCTGTTTCAATAAGGTTTTTTTTTAATTCGGAATTTTTTTAAGACATCTTTAGCTTTTGTCAGTTTAATTATGTGCCTAAGCATGGTTCTTTTTTTGCATTTATCCTGCTTGAGGTTTACTGAGCCACTTGGAACTGTACATATTGTTTATTTTCAACATTTTGGAAAATTTGAACTCATATATTGCCAAATATGTTTTTCAGCTCTATTAAGTTTCTCCTCTCTCTGCAACTCCAGTTACTATTGTCCTATGGTTTGCAAGTCTCTATATAATTTAAACAGTTTTCTCTATTTTTTCCTTCAGAATAGATAATTCCTATTGACTTGATTTTCTTGTGCAGTATCTAATAAAATGTTAAGTCAATTGAGTAAAGTTTTTATTTCAGATCTGGTCATTTTCAGCTCTACAATTTCATTTCAGTTCTTTTTATATAGTCTGTCTTTATCTTCTACTATTTCCTGTCTGTGCAGTCATAATCCATACTTCAAATTCTTAAACATATTTACAATAACTACTTTTAAGTCCTTACTTAATACAAATATCTGGGTCATTTCACTTTTTTTCCTTGACTGATTTCTCCTGAGACTATGAGTCACATTTTCTGCTTCTTTGTGTATTTTAAAAATTTCTGATGGCATGTTTGACATTGATGATGATTCATGAGATTATGTCACCATTTTTTTAAAAATGGTTTTGAGTTTTGTTCAATTGTAAGCTAAATTATTGGAAAATTATCTTGTCCCTGTTAGGTATACTTTTATTCCTTATTAAAACAGGCCCATTTTAGTCTAGAACCTGGTCCTAAATCATGCCTTTGACTTTAAGTCAGGGTTAAGCAAATTATGACCCATAGCCCAAATCTGGCCTGTTGCTTGTTTTCATGAAAAGATATTATTGGAACACAGTCATGCTTATTCATTTATGTCTAGTCTATGGCCGCTTTCACATTATGATGGTAGATTTGAGCAGTTGTGACAGAAATTGTATGTCTCACAAAGCTTAAAATATTTACTATTTAGCCTTCTACAGTAAAAGTTTTCTTTTGTGTGTGTGTATTTTTTATTTTTTATTTATTTATTTGTTTATTTTTTAATCTGTCAGAATTCTTTTTTTTAATTTTATTATTATTATAAGTTTTAGGGTACATGTGCACAACGTGCAGGTTTGTTACATATGTATACATGTGTCATGTTAGTGTGCTGCACCCATTAACTTGTCATTTAGCATTAGGTATATCTCATAATGCTATCCTTTCCCCCTCCCCCACCCCACAATCACTGGCCATCAGAGAAATGCAAATCAAAACCACAGTGAGATACCATCTCACACCAGTTAGAATGGCGATCATTAAAAAGTCAGGAAACAACAGGTGCTGGAGAGGATGTGGAGAAATGGGAACACTTTTACACTGTTGGTGGGACTGTAAACTAGTTCAACCATTGTGGAAGTCAGTGTGGCGATTCCTCAGGGATCTAGAACTAGAAATACATTTGATCCAGCCATCCCCTTACTGGGTATATACCCAAAGGATTATAAATCATGCTGCTATAAAGACACATGCACATGTATGTTTATTGCAGCACTATTCACAATAGCAAAGACTTGGAACCAACCCAAATGTCCAACAACAATAGACTGGATTAAGAAAATGTGGCACATATACACCATGGAATACCATGCAGCCATAAAAAATGATGAGTTCATGTCCTTTGTAGGGACATGGATGAAACTGGAAACCATCATTCTCAGCAAACTATCGCAAGGACAAAAAACCAAACACCACATGTTCTCACTCATAGGTGGGAATTGAACAATGAGAACACATGGACAAGGAAAGTAAAAGTGTTCTAACCTTTATTCTGGAGCATGGTCCTTACTCTTCACTCACAGCCTTTAATGTGCTACATATAAATGCCTGGGATGCTCAATAAGGTCTTTCTATTATGGCAGGGTCAGCATTTCAATATTTTAAGGATCACTTTTTAAAACTCTTGTGTGTGAATGTGAGGGAATGTAAAGAGTCTTTTCATGGCCTTTGCCCATTTTTCTATCTAATTCTTGGTCCTTTTATCTTAACTTTGTAGATTTTAAAAAATATGTTAGGGTTACTACCTTTTTATTTTTTATATATCTTGCAAAAATTTTCTCACAGTTTTTTTGACTTTGAATATTGTTGACAAGCAAAAGATGCATTTTAATGTAGTAAAATGTATTTACCATTTCCCTTGTTTTAAGAGTTCTCAGCTGCAGCATGATGGCTAGTTTGAACAATGAAATGTTTTGTTCTGGGAATTGACCTGTGCAATGTAGGATGTACAGTCTCATTCTTGACCTCTACCTACATGATACCAGTAACACACACCTCATTTTCTTTTCAGTTGCAACCAAACTATCCACAGACGTTTCTAGATGTTACCTGTACAACAAAATCATATCTAATTGAGAACTACTATTTTATTGCATTTGAGTTTTAAATTATAAATATAAAAGCTTTTTCTACACCAATGCTGAAGTGGAATTTCTTCTAATATTCCTATGGTTTTATTCATTCATTCATTTTTACATTTAGATATTGAAGTCATTTGGAGCTTTTTATTGTGTATGTTATAGAGTATGGATATATTTTCTTGTTCTATATAGTTACATGGTTGTTCCATCATTACTTATTAAAAAGTGCATATTTGCCCTAAAGATTTGAGATAGATGTAATGCGCTAATTTTCATATATATTAGAATTTATTTCTGGACCTTCTAGTCTACTCTTAACTCTTTCTGGCTATTTAAATTATGTAAAGACTGTATGGTATATTTAATACCTGATAGGGCTAATATACCATTGTAGCTTTTTTATGTTTTTCTACATATTTGTTTATAATTATTTTATGTCAAATTTACTATTAATTTGTCTAGCTTCATAAAAATATTATTTGTATTCCTTTTGAGAAGTTTTAAACTTTAAAAAGCAACTGACCTGCTTATGATGTCTATGAATCATTTATCCAAGTAAAAAGAAATATATTTCCATTTAACTATATCTGTTTTTGTATCTTTCAGGGTGTTTACAATTTTTTCTTATATAGCTTTCCCAATTATTTAAGTTCATTTTATGCATTTTTGTCTTCATGGTTGTTACTATACATTAGTTTGTAACAACCATTATTTTTTCAAACTGGCTATTTGTGCATACAAAGTCTACTAATTCTGGGGAGTAATTGTATATCCTGATGCCTTACTGATTTATCTTATTGTGTGAGACAGTTTTATGTATTGATTTCATGATTTTGCAAGTACACTATTTTATCATCAGCTAATAAAGCTAATTTCACTTTGTTGTTTCAATTATTATTTTTCTAACACATTTTCCATGACTTCTCACATTGATTGATGTCACTAGTTTAATTTCATGTAGTAGTGGAAATAGTGAGCATCTGTAATGGTTTCCTGAACTGGAAAACCTAGAGTAAGTATTTTCCTAATAGATGTAATGCTTCTTTTAGGATTAAGTTATATTCAAGCAAAGACATACACACACACATTCACCTATGCACAAATACAAAAACACACATATACAATTTTGAGAAGATATTTATACATTCTATATATATATATTTTTTTTCTGAGATGGAGTCTTGCTCAGTCGCCCAGGCTGGAGTGCAGTGGCTTGATCTCAGCTCACTGCAAGCCTCGCCTCCCTCGGTTCATGCCATTCTCCTGCCTCAGCCTCCCGAGTAGCTGGGACTACAGGCAACCTTCTTGACTATTTATATCAGAAATGTATATTGGATTTTGGAAAAAAGCTTTTTCAGCTTTGAGATAATCATAAAAGTTTTCTGTTTATATCTATTACTAGGGTTCATTATTTTAATGGAGTTTTAAACATTGATTTGGTATTAGTATTATAAAATAAATCCCACTTATTTATTGTTGGCAATTTTAAAAGTGGTATTAAATTCTGTTTACTGATATTTTATTTAGTATTTTTGCATTGATATCCATAATTGATATGATATTACAGTGGTTTTATTTACTTATTTAGTACTGTATCAGGTTTAGTAAATAATATTATCCTTGTCCCATAAAATAATTAAATAATTTATATATTTTCCTTTAATTTTTATGATCTGTAAATAATGTATGCATTTTCAGGATTATCTGGCCTTTGTAAGTTAAACATCTGAGCCTAGAACTTTTGCTAGAATTGTTTCTTGAAAACTTTCTATATTTTTATCTAATTTATTCTCTTTAAGCTTTCTCTATTTAATTGGGTCAATTTTTACAAATCCAAGCCCCCTAGGACTTTTTCCAGTTCTTCAAAAATTTCAAATTCATTTTTATAGAGGCTTACAAAATATTATCTTCAATTGTTATATTCCTTCTATTTCAATGGTTATTTTTTCTTTGTGAGTTCCTATGTTTCATCTTTATGACTACCCTTTAATTTTTTGTTTACTTTTATTAAAGGTCTGGACGTACATGTGAAAGTTTGTTACATAGGTAAACATGTGTCATGAGGATTTGTTGCATATATTATATCATCACCCAGGCATTAAGCCCAGTACTATTAGTTATCATTTCTTCTCCTTTTCCTCCTCCCACCTTCCCCTGTCAAGTAGACTTTGGTGTCTGAAGTTTTCTTATTTATTTTCATAAGTTATTATTATTTAGCTCCCACTTATAAGTAAAAACCTGCTGTATTTGGGTTTCTGTTTCCGAGTTAGTTTGCTAAAGATAATAGCCTCCAGCTCCATCCATATTCCTGCAAAAGGCATGATCTTATTCTTTTTTATGCTGCATAGTGTTCCATGGGGTATATATACCATATTTTCTTTAATCTGTCATTGATGGGCATTTAGGTTGATTCTATGTCTTTGCTATTGTCAGTAGTGCTGCAATGAATATTTGTGTACATGTGTCTTTATAGTAGAGTGATTTATATACCTCTGGGTATATACCCAGTAATGGGATTGCTGGGCCGAATTGTGGTTCTGCTTTTGGCTTTTTGAGGAATCACCATATGGCTTTCCACAATCATTGAACTAATTTGCACTCCCACTAAGTGTATGTCTTCCATTATTTTCACAGCCTCATGAACATGTGTTATTTTTTGACTTTTTAATGATAGCCATTCTGACCGGTGAGGTGATATCTCATTGTGGTTTTGATTTGCATTTCTCTAATGATCAGTAATACTGAGCTTTTTTTCATGTGCTTGTTGGCCACATGTATGTCTTCTTTTGAGAAGTGTCTGTTGGTGTCCTTTGCCCACTTTTAAATGGTGTTGTTTTTCTCTTGTAAATTTGTTTAAGTTTCTTATAGATGTTGGATATTAGACTTTTGTTAGATGAATTGTTTGCAAATACTTTCTCCCATTCTGTAGGTTCTCTGCCTACTCTGTTGATAGTTTCTTTTGCCGTGCAGAAGTTCTTTAATTAGATCCCTTTTGTCAATTTTTGCTTTCGTTGAAGTTGCTTCTGGGGTCTTTGTCATGAAATCTTTGCCAGTTCCTATGTCTAGTATAATATTGCCTAGACTGTTTTCCAGGGTTTTTATAGTTTTGGGTTTTACCTTTGTCTTTAATCTATCTTGAGTTGATTTTTGTATATGGTATAAGAAAGCAGTCCAGCTTTAATCTTCTGCATATAACTAGCCAGTTATCAGATGGTCATAAATCAGATGGTTATAGATATGTGACCTTATTTCTGAGCTCTCTATTCTGTTCCATTGGTCAATGTGCGTTTTTCTTTTTTTTCTTTTTTTTTCCCCAATACCTTGCTGTTTTGGTTACCGTAGCCTTGTGGTATAGTTTGAAGTCACGTAACGTGATGCCTCCAGCTTTGTTCTTTTTGCTTAGGATTGCCTTGGCTAGTCAGGCTCTTTTTTGAGTTCTGTATGCATTTTTAATTCCCCAACAAAATACTTGCAAACTGAATCCAGCAGCACATCAAAAAGCTAATCCACAATGACCAAGTTGGCTTCATCTCCAGGATGCAAGATTGGTTCAACATACACAAATAAATAAATGTGATTCATTACGTAAACAGAACTAAAGACAAATACCACAAAATTATTTCAATAGATTTTTATTTTGTTTTAGGGTTCTCCAGAGAAACAGACCAGTAATATATATTAGATAGATAGATAGATAGATACATAGATAGATTAGATAGATATAGGGAGTTGGCTCATGTGATTATGGAGGCTGAGAAATCTCAAGATCCACTCTTGGCAGGCTAGATACCCAAAAGAACCATGCGTGTGTTTCTTGACTTCACCTGAAGGCAGACAAAGATGGATGTCCCAGCTTAAAGGCAGAGTGAAATCTCTCTTACTCAGACTTCTTTTCTGGTCAGTCTTTTAACAAATTGGAGTGTCATCCACAGAAATGTGCTTTACTCAATCTACTGACTGAAATATTAATCTCATTCAGAAACACTCTCACAGACTTATTATGGATAATGTTTAACTAAATAGCTAGACATGCTGCAGCCCAGTCAAGTCAACATGTAAAACTAATCATCTCACCTTTGATCACTGTTGTTTTTTTAATTGTGGTAAAATATACATAACAACATTTACCCTTTTAAGCATTCTTGAGTATACAGTTCTGTGATATTTATTACATTCACACTGAATTACAGCCATCACCACTGAAAACCAAAAATGAAATTCTAAGTCCTCTGACTAACTGAATGGGCCCCTCTTCTCATCCAGGGCACTCTAAAGCAAACCTGAAACACTCTTCAGGCCATGATGGGAATGGGTGGTCAGACATGAACATGCCTTATTTTACCCTCCTCCCTTTGGAATTCGGAGAATGCTGACCAGTATTATCATTAAAACAGAGATTAAGACAGATAACAGACATTTTGTAACAATAAAACACCAAATTCTACCTTGACTTTAATATAGCATCAGATGACAGATAGCAGGCCCTGAAAGAAACAGAAGTATTTTACCCCAAAATATATTTCTTTGACATATTTTGAAATAGCCCTGTAAAGCTGTCTCTTATGGGGAAAATCTACATTCTATAGAGAATCTCCATACCTTTCCAGGTCTTTTCCCTGATCCAGGAGAGAATTAACTGAGTCTAGAGCTTTCTTTGTTGTTTTGTTTTTGTTTTTGTTGTTTTGAGATGGAGTCTTGCTCTGTTGCCCAGACTGGAGTGCAGTGGCGCAATCTGGGCTCACTGCAACCTCCAACTCCTGGGTTCACGCCATTCTCCTCCCTCAGCCTCCTGAGTAGCTGGGATTATAGGTGCCTGCTACCACGCCCAGCTAACTTTTTTGTATTTTTAGTAGAGATGGGGTTTCACCATATTAGCCAGGGTGGTCTTGATCTCCTGACCTTGTAATCTGCCTGCCTCAGCCTCCCAAAGTGCTGGGATTACAGGCATGAGCCACCGCACCCAGCCGAGTCTAGAACATTTTTAAATCTGGTAAGAGCTCTGAAGCCTGGAGACTTCATATGCATGATAAAACCTTGGTCTCCACAACCCCTTATCTTAACCCAGGCATTCTTTTCTATTGATTCCAGCTCTTCAGAGGATAACTTTTTAAACCAATCACAAATCACAAAGTCTTTGAATCTGCCTATGACCAGGAAGCCCCCACTTCAAGTTGTGCCACCTTCCCGGACCAAACTAATGTACATCTTACATGTATTAATTGATGTCTTATGTCTCCCTAAAATGTATAAAACCAAGCTATAGCCTGTCTACCATGGGCACATGTTCTCAGGATTTTCGAGAACTGTGTCACAGGCCATGGTCATTCACTCATTTTTTTTAAAATCTCTTCCCTGTCCCACAAAAATAATGTCTTTATTAGATGTCATTTTGACTCTCAGGAACATTTATGTTCCCTCCCTGTCAATGTTCTGATTTATTAGGATTCCTTGTTAATGTGTCTTCACATAGGTTGGACTTTTTCTTTCATTTATTTTTTAATTAATTAATCAATTAATTATTTTGAGGCAAGGCCTCACTTACATCACCCAGGCTGGAGTGCAATGGAGTGATCACAGATCACTGCAGCCTTGACCTCCAGGGCTAAGGTGGTTCTCCCACCTCAGTCTCCTGAGTAGATGTGACTATAAGTACACGCCATTATGCCTGGCTAATTTTTGTACTGTTTTAGAGATGGGGTATCACTATGTTGCCCAGGCTGGTCTTGAACTCCTGGCCCCAAGCAGTCCACCTACCTCATCTTCCCAAACTGTTGGGATTACAGGCATCAGCCACAGCATCTGACCTTTTATTTATTAATTTATTTTTTCTTTCAATTTGTGTTTTAGGTTTGGGGATACATATGCATGTTTGTTACATGGGTAAATTGTGTGTTGCTGGGGTTTGGTGTAAAAATGATTTTGTCACCCAGGTAATGAGCTACTACTCAATATGTAGTCTTTCCATCTTCATCCTCCTCCCATGACTCACCCTCAAGTAAATCCCAGTGTTGATTATTTCCCTCTTTTTGTCCACATTAGCTCTATGTTTAGCTCTCAATTATAAGTGAGAACATGTGGTATTTGATTTTCTGTTCCTGTCTAAATTCATTTATGATATTAGCCTCCAGCTCTATCCACATTGCTGCAAAAAAACATAATTTCATTCTTTTTTATGACTGCATAGTATGCCATGGTGTATATGTACCATATTTTCTTTATCCATGGGCAACATTTTAAGTGGATGTTTTTAAAGTCTTTTAGGTTGTTACTTTCCACCTATTCTCTTTTCTGCAAAGTTATCCACCCACTTACTCCCTGCCCCAGTAGCACACCAATAAAGCCTATGCCAAAAGTCTAGTAGATAACCTTGCTAAAATTGTTTGGGTGTTCTTTGCTTTCTAGTTAAGCTGAAGATGTGGAATTTATATTGTAGGTTATTTCCTTCTTGATTTGTGTAATTTATAGAAAATATAAATTTTCTATAAATTTGGGAAAATATTGTGCAAATATTTGGATTTAAATAGCCACCACACCAACTTTCCAGATGTTTAACCAAAACAAAACTTTTAAAAAAGGTTAAGTTTAAAATAAAAACTGGGTCTTGATCTCAAGTCCAGTTTGCTTTCTATTATAGCAATTAGAGTAGCATAATTTATCTTTCTGCTCCAATTGTTAGTCTACCTTATATATCCTTTGATGATGTAATTTTCAGAAAACCTACAAAATTTAGGAAGGTATGAAAAGTATGGAAGATTTAGATAAGTGCTTTTCAAACTCATTGCATCAAGGTGATAGATTATTTTCCCAATATTAGTGGAATAATACTTTTGTGAAAAAAAAAAGATTGTAAATCATTAGAAAAGTAAATGAAAAAGAGCTACATGAAATACGAACCATATTTAGAACTTTATATTTTATAGACACAAAATCACTGTATCAAATTGTTATATTTTCTACATACTTATCCTTAATTTCTGTACTTATTATTTACTTAATTCCTGTACATCACAGGCCAGTAAAAATTACTTTATATATAGTTCTATGGATTACACTTTGAGGTAGAATTGCCTTAAGGTAATTTCAGTGAGATTTGAGTTTTTATTTCAGAGAGAGAGATAAATTCAAGAGAATCAAAGCACTCGTTGCAATGATTTCTGCTATCAACTTGAATGTCAGTGACCACTGGTTGCATTGTGGGATTCTAAAGGTTGCATTTTTTTTTAATTTTCCATAGCTTTCAATTACATCTGTTTTTCTATAGGTACTGAGCATTTTTTAAAATGTTGGTAGAAAATGCACTAATTAAAAATATTCTTCTGCATCAAAGGTAAACCAGGAAAGCCATATGTCAAAATAAAAAAATTTTGATTGAGAGTGAAAATGAGATTAGCAACCCTGGAAAACACAGTGACAATATCTAATAAGCACCTGTATATTGCTCACGGATATTTGAACAATTATCTCTAAAAAATTCCAGATGCTTAAAAAACCCAAGAGATTTTATGTGCCTTGCATACCAGCAGACAGAAGATTTCATATTTTTCATGTTTCATATTTATTGAACCAATTATTTACATATCAAAGACCCATTATGTAAGCTTAACAGCTAACCTGCTGTGTTCTATTGGCCATGTATAAGAATTGTTCTTTACTCTGTTGGTTGCCTATCCAAGATCCTTTTTTTTATTCTGTCCTCGTTCCCACAAGACTTTATTATGGTTAGTTATTTTTCCCCTTCTTCAAGTGGCTTACATACCCAAGTGAAAGCTGAGTTTAGAGAAAGAATATTTCCTTTATTTCTGTCAAGATTTGGTTTAGGAATGTTATTATGACTCAAAACTCACTAGTAACATTTAAGAAGTTGTTTCTTGGGAATTTCTGGTAAGATTCTTCCTGTTCTTATAAAAAGTCACATGGAGCTACAAATTGTCTCTCCTGATAGATTTTAAGAATACATATATGAACTGCTACTGGAGATCATCTTACAAATGTGAGAACAAGCCTTGGAATGAAACCAACTCTGGAGGGACATATTTGCTGAGATAAAAGTGAAAATAAATAAACATGCATTTTTATTGTATAATTGGAATATTGAATTACCTAACACTGAAGACTGCCTACCTATAGGTTTCCTGCTTTTGAGCAAAATAAGTAAATCATTGCTTAAACAATTTTGAGTTGGATATTTTCTACATTCAAAACTAAGAGAAGTCTACCAGATAGAGTGGCATACATCTGAAAGCATATCCTGCTGCATTAACCTATTATTCCTCATTTGTCACTTTTTTTGATTAATCAGGAGATTAAAGTACAAAGAAGAGCAAC
Organism: Homo sapiens; assembly: GCF_000001405.40. NCBI lineage: Eukaryota > Metazoa > Chordata > Mammalia > Primates > Hominidae > Homo > Homo sapiens. The sequence continues at coordinate 32,709 of NT_187618.1, forward strand.
AGAATATTAAGAAATGGTGTCATAGGGCTGGAAACTTCATAGTCTGAAGAAGGAGGAATGGCACATAAGGCCTAGATTCTTCTGCTTTGGCATGTTTTCATGTTAGATAGAAATGCTCAAGATAATACCTGCACAGGGTGATGCAGTAATGACAAATGGGAAAAACAGAGACAGCCATTAGAAATCAATCCACAAAACTCTAACTATTTAACAGAGATCAATGACAATTATGTTTATAGGATGAAGGCGTTCACTATTAATAATCAAAACCTTTATTTATTTATTTATTTAGAGACAGAGCCTCACTCTGTCCCCCAGGCTGGAGTGCAGTGGTGCAATCTCAACTCACCGCAACCTCTGCCTCCTGGGTTCAAGCAATTCTCCTGCATCAGCCTCCCAAGTAGCTGGGATTACAGGTGTGAGCGACCAAACCTGGCTAATTTTTGTATTTTTAGTAGAGATGCGGTTTTACCAGGTTGGCCTGTCTGGTCTCAAACTCCTGACCTCAGCCTTCTTATTAATTTTAATAACCAATAATTTGCCTGTGGTTCTTTTGAATATTCTGTGTGAACATCATGTCATTTGATAAGAAAGGCAGTTTTTTTTAATGTTCTTATAACTTTTATCTATTTTCTTGTCATATTACATTGGCTAAAATACTGCTTATTGAATATAATCAATAAAGATGCTTGTAAGCATCCTTGAGTTTTTCTGATTTTGAAGAAAATGTTTTAAATATTCCAGAGTTAGAAATAAAATTAGCTATTGTATCTTGATAGATAATCTTTACAATTTAAGTTTGTTATTTTATATTTCTAATTACAGGTGTTTTTCACATGAAATCCATACAAAGAAGTTTAGTAGCAAAAAAGTATTCTTTGATAGTGTATTTAAACACACACACACACACACACACTTAACAATAATATAAAGTAAATCAACACATTGCATATGTAAAGTCTTGCAGCTATACATTCTCGTGAGTGTTGATAATATGAAAATATAAATGATTGTATGATGTTTTAGCTGCTTATGAAGTATTAGGCATTATGATAACTTTGGACTCATTGTCATACAAATTTCATAACAACATTATGAGATGGCTAAAAAAAGACTATTTTACTGATGGAACCTGGAACAAAGAATGGCTTATTTGTTTTTCCAAGTTTCTAAGAATCCTCTCAGTAGAGCAGAAATTTATATTCAGACTGAATAACAGCAGTGTTAATCTGCTTAGCCATTATGCAATTGCATTATAAAATTATGGAATATAAGTCTTTGGACTGCAGAGCTTACTTATATTTCAGGTACTATCTTAGTAATAGTTTATAGAAGTAAAGAAATGCCTCATTCTGAGAGGCTGTAACCTTTTTCTATCAAATGCCTTCATCTTAAATATACAAAAAACAAACAAGATTCTGTTATTTCTCTCAATCTCACAAACAATCATAAAAACAACATTTTTGACTCTATACTAACTGTCTTATTACTTTATTCTTTGTTATTCTTGACTGCAAATCTTCTTGGAAAAGTTTATCGCACTTTCTCCAAATTATTTTTTCCAATTGTCTCTTAATTTTCTTCTAATCAATCTCTCATCTGTACCTCAGCAATAAAATTGTTCTTTTCATAGTTGTAAGTTATGACCATATCGCTAAATTCCGGGTCAGTTCTCAGCCCTCATTGAACTCATAAAGTGACCACTGATTTCTCTTTTTGTCACCTCAGATTTTTTCCTTTTCACTTTCTTCACTTGGATTTTACAACTCCATAGTAACTTAGTGCTTTTCTTACCTCTCCAGTCACTTTATTCTTTCCTCCTTTTTTATTGATCTTTTTAAGTAAAATCAGTTCTTGGTGCTTTTCCTTCTCTATCTTCAAACACTATGCTTGGTCTCATAAAGACTCAGAGCTTTAAATACTATATAATATGCTCTTAATTCCAAAATGTATCCATAGTCCAGTCTGCCCCTACATATCATACCCATATATTCAATGCCATGCCAAGAGTGAAGGAAAAGTCGTGTCGGGTGGTGTCATAATTTGCAGAGAATATATTAAGTCTGATTAAAAGTGGGTCTGCTTTTTATGATCACCATGGCAATTCTAGCATAGGCCATTGTTAAACATGTCTCCAGATCTGAGATCCAAAGAGTAGTTTGCACATTTGATGGATGCTCCCATCACCCAGCAATTGATGTGCTATGGTTTATAGCCAGCTACCTACCAGACCTCTCCATATGCATATTTACTGAAAATTAATCACAACATGCCTAAAACTTGTTTCCCTTAAATTTGCTCTGTTTTTAAACTTTTTCATTTCCACTGAAAGGCAGCCAACTGAGGTAAAAAAACTGCAGTCATCTGGGGCACTTCTGTTTTTCCCACAACCCTCATTGAATCGAGTAGGAAATTCTGTTATTCCTCTACTGAAGGAATATGCCTTATCTGAATGGCAGAGATCTTTGCGTGTTTGTTTTATTTTGTTTATTTTTTTCCTTCTGATATATCTTAAGCTCAGTAAAATTTTTAAACAAATCAATAAAATATCTATGAAAAGATTTTGATCATTTTTTTAAAAAAACTTTCACTCCTTAGCAATTATTCTATCACATTTTGAGCAATCTGTGCTACTATTTGTATTTTTGACAGTTTTATGTAGTTACTATCTTGTTCTTTGAAAAATCACTTGCCAAAACTACCTATTTTTACAACATGTTTCGCCAAGTTAAGGATTCCAAATATTGGCTTGTTTCCTCCACTGCTATACCTAACATCCCTTTAACAGTATCTCACGTGGGAAAATAATATAAATTTTCATAAGCTAATCAATTAAATATTGTATATTTGCTGGATAAGACAGATATATAAAAATTTCCAAAACAGAGCATCAGGAGATAAATGAGGTAGTTTTAAGAATGGAGACATATTAATGGTGTCACTCATGAAAAACTTAACAGAGGAGATAGCACATGATCTGGGTCTTGGAAGTATTTTAACCAGTTGACAATAGGCCATTAAAGTTGTGGTAATGGCAAAAGTTCCTCATGAGGGTGACAATTAGTTGGCACATTGCAGAGTAGCAAGTGATATAGTTTTGCTGGTAACAAGAAGAAGCACGGAAGAGAATGGGAGAAAATATTTTACAGAAAATATTTTACATGTTATAATTAGTAACTCAGAATCACTCAGAGATGTGTGTGTATGTATAAATATGTATGAATATATATGTATATATATGTGTGTATGTGTGTATACATATATAGATCCATGGGTTAAAAGGAAGCATTTCAAAATTATTTTAGGATGAGATTGAGAAACTAGAGGGTTGTGATGAAGACACCAAGTAAAGAGCACTGTGCCAATGAAAGTGAAACGGACTGATAATAATTTTGGAACTACACATTTGTATGCTATTGATAGTGTGCACAATCCAAATCCAGATCACTGATTCAGACATTTCTCATTAACTAAGACTGTTACTTTTGGCTGGGTGCAATGGTGTGCACCTGTAGTCCCATCTACTCAGGAGGCTGAGGCAAGAGTATTTCTTGAGCCCAGAAGTTCAAGGCTATAGTGTAACATAATCACTATTGTGAATAGCCAATGTCCAGCCTGGATAATATAGTGAGACCCTGTCTCTTTTTAAGAAAATGATTATTTTTAATTATGCATTGTGCTATCATACAGCCACTTCCATTTTCATAAATCCAGAACCAGACATTATTTTTTATTCAAGTCTATTTTTAGCTGTATTCCTAAGTCTTGAGAATAACTATTCAATTAGTTGAAACAGAAATCTAGAACTCTGCAGATTATTTCTTCTCTCTCTCACTTAGCATATAATGAATCAATCAAAAACACTTACAGCTTTGATCTCATGTCTTAATATGTTTCTTTATCTTCATCTTCCTGTAACTGTCCATTCTCAATCTTCACTTTAATTGAGCAAGGAGGTACAATTGCTTCCTCTTTTACCTGTCCTCAAACCATATTTCAACGTGCTTTATTATTAAAAAAATTATGCTTTGTCTTCCCTGCTTAAATTCTTATGCTGGTTTCCTACTGCTTCTAGGTAGAATGTCAATCTCCTTTACGTGATATTCCAGCTCATCCATGGAAATAATAATAAATCTAACACTGATAGTAGTAACGATACTGATAGTAGTTACAATGAGCACTAAGTAGAATGCTTATTATGTGTCAGGCATTGTTTTATGCATTTTAAATGGTGTAGTTCCTTTTACTCCTCACGTAATTCTAAAAAGTGGGTGATAATGTTATCACCTGATTTTATAGACAAGGAGAGTGAGGAACAGAGCACCAAAGTAGCATATCCAAAATTACAAGGCAAGAAAGTAGCAGAGCTGAAATACACATGCATGTTGTAGATTACATATTAATTATTTCCTGGATGCTTTACCTCTGTTCACATTGCCCAACCACAATCAAACTGTTTCAACTATACAGGAATACTAAGAGTTCCTAAAGCATTGTGTTATGTGGTGTAATAGTCAGATTGCTATTTTTTAGCAGACTGTGAGCCCCCTGAGGGCAGAGGCTGTTTTACACTTCCTTCTCTCATCCAACCTCAGCAGAGCACTTTACATATTATGGATGTTTGATTGAATTATGTTCATGTAGAGTCAGTTCTGCTGTAACTGACAATTTAAGTATCACATAAATTTCACGCTTGTGTATGGGCAATTTTGTCCTTGAGAAACACTAGGTGAACATAGAAAACCATATTTAAAAGAAGCAAGTGATATTGGAATATGCAAAATGCATACATCTCACACTCCCACCAGCTATCTTAATTCTCTGTGTGGATTACAAGCCAGCCCCTACCAAATTTGGTGTCATAACTTTCCCTTTCATATAAATCTTGTTTCAGATAAATCTTTTACCACTTCACAATAATTCCCAAGCTGCAGCCTTTCCAATACCCATTTCCACAAATGATTTCAGGTCTTTCTCAAAATAAATTGTTATATTTATTGTAGTATTTACATATTTTCAAACATATATAATGTGTAGAACTGTTTTGCCATTTTTGCTAGGTTCCTATCTCTTTTTATATGTGTTACTGATAAAGTATTTGAGTGTTGTGTCTCAACCCTACTTTCCTCATAAGCCCTGTAGCTTTTATTGTGCCAAGTTTTCAGAGAATAGTGAGGCTTCAGAATACACATTTCTCATTATAGCAGAACCAACTGTACTTGAATGAATTAAAGAAAGGCTGAAACTCACCCAATTATCATCTGCGGCTGAATAGCATTCTCTCAAAATTCCTATGTTGAAGCCCTCACCCCTAGTACCTCAGCATGTGACTGCATTGGGAGAGAGAGGATTTAAAGAGGTGATTAAGTGAAAATTACGTCATTAGCATGGACCCTAATTCAATATGGCTAATGTCCTTATAAGGAGAGGAAATTTGAACACACAGAGACACCACATATACACAAGCACAGAAGATAGGCCATATAAGAACATGTAAGAAGGCAGCAGTCTACAAGCCAAACAGAGTGACATCAGGAGAAACTAAACCTGCTGACATCTTGATCTTGGAGTTCTTAGCTTCCAGAAGGGTGAAAGTATAAATTACTAATATTTAAGCCACCCAGTCTGCGGTACTTTATTATGGCAGTACTAGAAGATAGTTACATCAACTATTTTCTATGCAGCTTTCAAGACTGAGCTAAGGGATATAGCTATTACTTACTTGAAACATAACCCTCATCCTGAATGGGCATTTTTATCCCCAGCCTATCCATGGCTTCATCCCAGTATATTTTTTATTTTAATTTTTTATCAAACGATGTTATAATAATTTATACTTTCTGTATCTGATATAGGCAATACCTTCCATAGACCAATCTATCTGTTTTTTAACCCTATGCCAACAACTTCAAACATGGCATGTGTAACATTGCAGACTCTGAATATATCACTGTTAAATATATTGTGGCATAAAATAAAAAGAATTTTTCGATGAATTTAATGAAGAAAACCAAGAAGTAATGCATTTTATGTGAATACAATGTTGGGATGGCACATATCTACAGCTGTCCATGGTTCAGATGATCAATTCTGTTTCATTTGTGGGTACATTATTCCTCTTCTGTCCATGTTCCCCTGCACCATATTAATGAAAAAATCACCCAAGACTTCTAGCGTGGGTGAAAGAGAAAATGATAGCACTATTGAAAAAAAATGTAGAGGTCTGGAGAAAAATTACAACCAAGCTTTTAACACATGAATAAATATCCCTGTATAGAATAATGTTTGGATATCCATCATCTATTGGTGGGAATTTCTACTTATCTCTCAGAAAATTAGCTCATGCTGAGTAACAGTAACCTTCTACAGAGATGCTATTGCTTTGCCAAACACTATGAATGCTGTAATGAAGGAAAGGAAAATAAGTGTTCAGTGCCTAATAATTGAAAGGTAAACAATAACTGCAGTAACATAACTATAGTATTTATATACATGTAGGAAGGGTAACTTTAATATTAATGATAATATTTAACTTTTTTCTTTTTTTGAGACAGAGTTTCTTGTTGCCCAGGTTAGAGTACAATGGCGCAATCTCAGCTCACTGCAACGTCCACCTCTCGGGTTCAAGTGATTTTCCTGCCTCAGCCTCCCGAGTAGCTGGGATTACAAGCGCGCACCATCACGCCTGGCTAATTTTTGCATTTTTAGTAGAGATGAGGCATGTTCGCCCGGCTGGTCTCGAACACCTGATCTCAGGTGATCCACCCACCTCGACCTCCAAAAGTGCTGGGATTACAGGCTAGAGCCAACGCACCCGGCCCAATATTTAACATTTCTTTACAGCTTACTTTGTGTAAATCCTTCTATTTCTTAAAACTAAAATATTTAATTGTATTTAAAAGAGATGAGCCCTAGGAGGTGGAGATCATCATCATTCTACTTTATGAACAAGAAAACTGTAACTCATTACAGTTAATTAACTTGTCCTAGGTAAAATAACTCATTGGTGGACAATTGGGATGCAAAATCTGTTTCTGTTTGTACTTGTTTTCTATTAGGCTCACTGCTGGTATTAGAAAGTTCTCAAGGCTACCTTATCCTTCTTGGTTCTTCTCCAGTCTCCAGAGCTCTTCTTTTTTTTCTGTTTACTCTCTGTTTTCTCACCCAGTCTAAGTGCTGCTTCTTTTTTTTTTTTTTTTTTTTTTTTTTTTTTTTTGACGGAGTCTCACTTTGTTGCCAGGCTTGAGGGCAGTGGCGTGATCTCAGCTCACTGCAACCTCTGCCTTCTAGGGTTCAAGTGATTCTCCTGCCTCAGCCTCCTGAGTAGCTGGGACTACAGGCACGCACCACCATGCCCAGCTAATTTTTGTATTTTTCGTAGAGACAGGGTTTCACCATGTTAGCCGGGATGGTCTCTTTCTCCTGACGTTGTGATCCACCCGCCTCAGCCTCCCTAAGTGCTGGGATTACAGGTGTGAACTACGACACCCCGCCCAAGTGCTGCTTCTTATGATACCACTCTAGCTCACTATGCCATTGTTGCTTCTAAATGTCTATGAGCTTTACCTTCTGTATAATTCGTCAACTACCATGCTCTGTTTTACACTTTCCCAGTCAGGTTACGAATACCTTGTATTCAGATATTTCAACTGCTTTTCAAAATAAATTCTCTTTGTACCTTATAGTGAAATTGTATATATTTCTGGATTGATAAATTCTAGAATAATTTAATAAAAACATTAATATTATTGGAGTAATCTACCAAATGCCAGACATCATGCCACAATATGAATTTTTTTTTTTTATGTCTTTAAAAACTCATTGATACTAGGTGTTGTTGTCATTGGGGTGTGTGTGTGTGTGTGTGTGTATGTGTGTATGTGTGTAATGGGTTGTGATCTAAAATGTCTTTCTTATCTAGGGTAATGGTCAAAAAAGTTCAACATCATGGTGATTTAATAAAATAGCAAACCTAGGTTACATATTTATTTTTTATCCAAAAGCAAACCTTTTGGACTTTTTTATTCTCACCATTTTGCCGTTTGAGGTCTTGTAGATTACAATAGCTTCTTTAGGTAAGGATGCTTGAACTATCCTGACAGCAAAAACAAAATGTCAGTTGGGCTAGACTCATTTTCTCTCACCTGGCCCAGCTCCAGGAGTTCATTGATTTCTGTAATTAAATGAGTTGGAAGTAAATCCCAGGCCTGTGCTGCACATTAGTCATTGGTGCTGAGGCCTGAATCTTAATAAGCTGTTGAGTGTGATCTTGTGCCAGAGAGGTGAAGTGTTAACAGTCTTTCTGGTGCTCCCAGACCATGTAGCAATCTGGGGTTATAATTGCTTCATGCAGGACAAAATGGAGAGGAGTTAGAATGGCATTAGATTCGAATAAAATAGCATACTTCAGAAAGTGCTTAAATGATAGAATACAAAATATGTCTTTTTTTTTTTACATAAATCCAACTTGGTGGATGAAATATTCTTTAGCCTTTCTAAGTGGAATATGAAATTTTAGGCTTTCAGTTTGATTGGGACAGTAGTAAGTATATAAACTAAAAAAAGCAAACAGTAAGCACTTTAATTAATTTTCAAGTTCCTGAAGGCCATGCTAACTCAACAAATGCCATATCATTTTTTATTTGATTTCTTTGAGTCAGGTCTTAAAATTATATTATTTTCAAATCTACTTAGAGAAGCAAAATAAAAATATATCAAACATATATGTCTAACATATATGACTAGAAAAAATAAAAACATGTATATTTGACACATTTTTATTTTGTTATATGTGCTCAGATATGGTTTTACATATATATGTAAAATATGTATTCGTATATATGATGTATCTTTATATGATGTGGCCGTATCTCTATATCTATATTATCTCATAGAATACAGTAGCTAGAAAATAATCTAGTCCAACTCTTGCAAAACACTTTGTTACACGAAATTACACAAAAAATTACAAATTGAAATTTGTAATTTCTCAAATTGTAATTGAGAAATTTGTAATTGAGAAATTACAAAAGTGGGAAATTCAGAGAGTTTTTTTGGAAGGCAAAACTTTAAAATCTAAATATATTTTAAGAAAAGCCTGATTAAGAAAAAAACAAAAATAAAACATGGCTTTTACTTGCAAGTAGTGGAATCCTAAATCTTCAGAATTTTCTATTTGCTGGTGAGAGTGAAAAAATACAGGTTCAAATTTTTGTTAATGCTTTACAAATTTTTATATCATTTAACCTGCAAAGTTCAATTTAGAAATATATTCTGAGAAATGATATGAAAACTTCAAGAAGAATATATGTAAAATAAGTTTCTCATAGTGTTCATGAGAGTAAGGGAAGTTGAAACTTAAAATCCAACAAAATAATCAATTAAATACTTATAGCACATCTATAAAATAAAATACCATGCAAGCATTAAGAATAAAAGAGTATTGTTATTGACATAAATATTTTAATATATACTGGGGAGTAAAAACAAGTTATAAAAGTATATGTATGTATGTAGATAAGCATTATATAAACAATGTAGTTTTATACACACACATACATATGTCATGTTTGCTTTACATTTCTATATTTATGTGTATGATTATGAATAAAAAATATTTGGAAATGTATGCAACAAAATTTTAGCAGCAACTGTCTTTAGTAGCAGTACTATAGATGGTTCCATTTCACTTCATCTTTTCATATCTTCAAAATGAGCATTCATTTCTTATGTAATTAAAATTAACTTTTAAAAACTCACATGTTAGTGTTATTCTATATAAAACTGAAAATACAGTAATTTCTTTACCAAGGAGATGAATAGCAAATTGAATCGAATTCATTAAATATTTATTATAACTTGAACATTTTACTAGAAACTCTAGAATATAAAAAGAAATAGAATGCCTATACAGCATTACATTTTCTAAACATAAAGCTTTGACAACTCTTTGCTCAAACATGCAAAATGCTACCTATACCAACTGACTGAAGTGAAAATGTCAGTCTGGCATTGAAAGACTTTATAAAACAATCTGAAGGTGACTCTAACAACCCCTACCAACAAAAACAGCTAAAATTGAAGTAACAACAAATAGAACTAGAAATAACTGATTTAGTTTCTCATCTTAAAAACTATACACACATACACTTATATGTATATATGTATGTATAGTCAGAGTCACTATATACACATGCATGCACACATATGTATACATACATATATACATATGCATATGTGTGTGTGTGTGTAGTTTCTTTTTTTTTTTTCCTTTGAGACAGAGTTTCGCTCTTGTTGCCCAGGCTGGAGTGCAGTGGTGCAATCTCGGCTCACTGCAACCTCTGCCTCCTGGGTTCAAGCAATTCTTCTGCCTCAGCCTCCCGAGTAGCTGGGATTACAGGCACCTGCCACCATGTCCAGCTAATTTTTTTCCACTTTTAGTAGAGACTGGTTTTTACCAGGTTGGCCAGGCTGGTCTCAAACTTCTGACCTCAGGTGATCCACCCATCTTGGCCTCCCAAAGTAATGGGATTACAGGCATGAGCCACCATGCCCGGCCCTGTGTGTGTAGTTTTTAACATACTATACACATTATACACACATAAATACACACATACACACACATATACGTATACATACATATATACATATGTATATGTATATGTGTGTGTATATGTCTGTGTGTGTGTATGTGCACCGTAGACCCTCCATATTTGTGGTTTCTGAATATGGAACTTAGTATAAAGCATTGACCATAAGAAACTTCAGATCTGTGGATTTTGGTATATGAGGGGTCCTGAAACCAATTCCTTGTGGATACCAAGAGGTGACTGTATATTTTACATAATACATATACATACATATATATATATATATATATACAGAGAGAGATTCAAGTCTGCTAAAAGTAAATTGTATTAAGATGTTACATTTTCTCTATTTATAGAGCACTGTGTACATCACAAGAATACATATGATACATGCTTATGACTTTGAAGAATTGGCAATCAAGTTGAAAAAAGTGAGGTGACTTTGACTTCTGACTCATAATGAGCTAGAATGAGTGGGCAGGGGCAGACTTTGCTTATGATAATTCCTGCTAAAGAGGCTAGGCAAATGGGAATCACACCTGGCATCTGCCCATGGGTGACTGCGTTCTTTCTTAGATGGTTTCCTGTAGATGCTCCTAGGGTATACATTCTAGGTAAACATATTTACAGCTTTTTGATTCCTGTAAAGCCTGTTGAGGAATAGACAGTCAATGTGTCATTTCTCACTGGTTGCTTTTAAGATCTTCTCTGTGTTTTTGCTGTTCTACAGTTTCATTATGATAGATTTAAATATGCCACATTTTTCAACTCTGTGTATATGGATTCCAGAATATGTATTCTAATATGTCTTACAATCCCTAATTGTTCATTTAGCTATGTCTGATTTACTGATTAGGCCACCAAGTTTCTAATTTTAGAAACTACATCAATCACCTCTAGAAATTCTATTTGATGCTCTTTCAAATTCATCTTCTTTTTGTTGGTTGTAGTTGTTAGTAGTTTGGTTTTTTGAGCATTCGGTGTCTTCTTCAATAATTTTAAACATACTTAAGTTATTGTCAATATCTGATAATTATACTATGTAAAATGATCAGGGATCAGATATTCCTATTTAGTCTATAGACCCTCAAACATAGTAGATTCTTTCCTATTATGTTTTTATGATTTAAGATTTTAGGCTTAGAATTTCTTGCGATACAACCATCCCAGTAGCACTTTTTACATATGTTTCATAAGGAGGCAGGTAAGTAGTGTGAATTTTGCCTTGAACCTATAGAACAAGAAGACTGTAATTATGACTTGCTATGCAACGGTCTTTTGTTGTTATTTTCTTATCTAGATCCTAAATTTAAATATGGAATTTTTCTTGTCATCTCTTTCTGCATGAGTTTTCCATATTTATCCATTCTCTTTGTGTTTACATTTTTAGTGTTTTTGGTCATTTTCATGGGCCACATAAATTCTACCCTGCTCAGCTGAATATAAGTTCAACTGATTTTAAATGCAAGCCTCTTGGTTATTAAATCCTACAACCTTACCTCTCTCGTCCCCTTCTCCCCAGCTCAACCAGGTAAGTAAAAGCATCAGTACCACATAACACCTCTGATATTGTATTTCTCCTCCATTTGTTTTAACTAAGAAAACTGGCATTTATTTAATGGCCCTAATATAGTTTGGAACTATCTTTCCTATCTATGTTTTTTTAAATTTAATTTAAGTTCTGGGATACATGTACAGGACATGCAAGTTTGTTACATAGGCAAACACATGCCATGGTGGTTTGAATCTCTCACTTTTCTTTGAGGTCGATATGAATTTAAATTTTTTTGTATGTATTCATTATACTTGGATGTATTCAGGCAGAATATTTTCATGTTACCTGCCTTTCAGTGTTGCTAAGTCATAACGTATATTTTATTAAAAAGCATATCTAATCTTATATATCCATAAAGCAAAATTGTTGAAATTATTTTCTTCTCAATAATTATCCCAGTTGTGCTGTATAATAGCGGCTCAATATATAAACACAGATTGAATGAATATAGGACACCTAGACTTATTAATGTTAGGAAGAATTGTGAGGGTGTACTTCTTCCTAGCTGTTTATATAGCCCTCTTTTTCAGTGGTACTATAATACTATAATACTGACTCCTATGACAACCTCAGAAAGGGAGGTGAATTAGATTCAGGGAGCCTCATGGAATACAATAAAGGTCAATGAACATCAGCAATTTTATCAGCTGAGCATCAGCCAATCAGCAAAAGTGACCAATAAGCCAAACTTCAAAACATAACGAAGCCCCACCCCAGAAAAAAAGCCCGTGGCATATCTCTATTGATTTTCGGACAGAATACATCCTTTCAGAAAAGATACATATTTCCTGCTGCATTTCCTGCCAATGTTTTGCTTCATGCCTAAGGTAGTCTAGTTATCCTTGTTTTTGATTATGCAGTTCACACATATGCAATAACTTATCTTTCCTTGTGCCTTTATATTCATTGATTTGTAAATGTTATTCAGCCTTTTCCCTTACTCTTTTAGCTAGAAGAACAAACGTTTTAAATTATTGAAAGTCTTTGAAGTATTTCTGTTGACTGTTTTCATTTACTCTCCATGTTTCTCAATAAATACCACTGGGACTTGTAGATTCTTCTTACAACTAAAATCTTAACCATGACTAAATATGTTTGGGATAGAAACTAAAAATTACTTTCATAGAATATGATAGCTTCTAATTGCTCTAATATGTTCTATATTATTGTATGAATATATTTGGGAATCAATTCAGTTTGGACATAAAAATAGTTTTAAAATTTATTTACTATATAGAAGCCTGAAAACATAGTACACAGAAACATAATATCAAATGATTCTTAATCTTATGAAAAACTACTCAATCTGGCTCAAAATAACATAAATGCTGACTAAACTACACTGTAGTACTATTTCTCATATATTGAATTAATAAAAAATACAAAAATTAACTGCAGTCTCTATTGGTAAATCTGTAAAATAAATAGGCATTCTGACATCATAGCTAGTGGAAATACAAAATGATACAACTTCTGTGAAAGGGAATTTGGAAAAAAATCTCTATCCTAAATATATGATAAGAATTTACTGTTAGTCTCAGAAATATAAATTCTAGGGTTCTATTCCTAAGATTCTGTGGCAAAACCACAAAATATTAAAGTGACATATGCACAAGATTATTTTTATTGTGGCATATTAGTAATAATGAGAAACTAGAAATAGGCCTTTTGTCCACTCTAGGACACTAGTTGAATAAAATATGGTAGATCTATCTGATAACAAAAATAAAGAAGATTAAATATCTCTTGGATACACGGTAAGGTTTTTTAAAAACTAAGCCAAAGGAGAATATTGTCAAGCTAAAAAAAAAAGTAGATATAGAAACATCTTTATAATAAATTACTTTTTCTAGAAAAGGGATGTTGGCAATATAAGCATTATATACACTCATGCTTATATTTTCAAGATGAAACTATTAAAGAATAAAGCCAGACTGAACCAAACATAATTACCTTATATGAGGAAAGAGGGAACTGGGAGAGAATATAGAAACAGAGGTGAGACTTCTAACAATACATTTACTTGTATAGTTTTGATTTTGAAACCAAGAATATTCAGTTAAAAAGACACAAGCCATATAAATAGAAAGCGAACTAAAATTGATACGCTAAACCCTATATCAAGGAAGTACTATAACCTCCAATAGAAGTTAACTGGGTCCTGTGACTTTAAACATCATATTTTGACTGAGTATCCTTGACAGAAATTATTTTAATGACAGAAAAAAAATCTTAAACTTTGAACAATGTAGCAGAAGTGTATATGAACTAAAAGGGGTAGAGGAACAAGATAACCAACAACAGTCAGAAAAGTTTAGGTGAAATCAAATCTGTGTTCCATCATCTACAGGATAAATGATGTGGCTTTTCGGACTCATCCAATGATATCAGGGCAAAAAAGAATTGTTATTAAATAAAAGACACAAGAGATGTTCAAATCCTGATCTGAATAAACCAATTCTAAAAATGTATATCATTAAGGTCTGTTGAGAAAACTTTAGTACAGACAGGCTATTCTACATAGTTAAAAAGTTTCTGTTTGACAGTGATATTAACTTGGTGGTTATTTTTAAAAATACTCTTATAGAATATGCTTAATAATAAAGATACATAACCTATCTACAGAAAAATGAGATGATGATATCTGCAATTAGCTTTAATATGCTCCAGAATTATTTTAAAAGAAACATTTAGGGCAGATATAATAAGATTAGCAAAATGTTATTCATTGTTGAAGGTGGGTGATAGATATATAGGGGTCCGTTATATTAGGTTGGTGCAAAAACATTAAAGTAACGGCAAAAACCGTAATTGTTTATGCACCAATCTAATAATATCCCCTATAAGTTAGAATCTGCAAATAAAATAACAAACTGTATCTTTAAATGTCTCCTTGAGTGTTTTTGATATCTATCCAGGATTAGAAAATGTTGTTACCTAGCAAACAAAAAATATGGTTATGGAATCTTTATGTATCTAAGTCAAGTGCCTAAAATTCAGTTGTTTGGCTAATAGATTCTACTATTCTTTATTCTTGTCCTTTAGTTTGGTTGTAGGAGGGCCATATCTTTATTCTTCTCCTTTGCTTCTCACTTCTACTCTTCTTTTCGTTTCAATAATGCAGGATAATTTAAAGAAATTTAAAGTTGTTATTGAGCAAAAAGTGCTAGCTGCCCGATGCGCTAGAATCCAATACTATGGCGCTGGAATTTTTAAGAAAAGCTTTATATTGAAATTTTACTTTCAAGGAGAGAGAAACCAAACTCAAATCTGTCTCCCTGTGCTGCCTTCAACCCTTAGAAAAGGTTTAAGGGGTGGATACTGGAATTAGCAAGTGATTGGTCAATAAATGTGACTATTTAGATAAAATAGATTCCATGAAAGATGCAAACTAAAGAAGCTTATTTAAAAAAAAACCTAATAACCTGAATGGTCCTAAAATCTACTTCTGAAATTGAATTCATAATTTTTAAAACCCTCCCACAAAGAAACTTCAGGCTGAGATGAATCATATGAAACATTAAGAAAGAAAAACATTTTCAAACATACATTTGAAGGGGTGAAAATATATTCTGATATATTCCGATTTACCTGGAGGCCAGCATTAACCTGATACCAAAACTGCACAAAGACATTACAATTTAAAAAACAACAACAGAACAATATTCCTTATCAACTTCAATGCAAAAATGCTAAGCACAAGTGTCTGAAAATGCCAATACATCATGAATAAGTAGGATATATGTTAGAAGTGCAAGGTTATTGTTTAACATTTGAAAATCAATAAATGTTATTCTTCATTAAAAATAAAACTTTTAAAGAAGTAATTTCTCATTAGATGCAGAAAAGGCATTTTATAAAATTTAATACTTATTTCTAATAAAAACTAGCACGCTAGGAATAAAAACAAACTTTCTCAATCTGATAAAGGTCATGTATCAAAAATTAAAGCTAACATTGTAGTTAATGATAAAGGACTACATGCTTTTTCTCTGAGATCAGTACAAAGTCCAGGATGCCTGCTCTCCTCCTTTTTTTACTCAGCATTTTACTGGAGGTTCAAGCCAAGGCAATAAGGCAAGCAATGAATATAGAAGTCATCTAAATTGAAAAAGAAGTAGTAAAAAGAACTTATAGCCATTTAATTTCTTAATTATATATGCTTTTCTCTTTCTCTCTGTTCACCCTACCATATGGTTTTATTCTAAGTTATGTATACATATACCTTTACTATATATTTGTATATATTGCTCATTGTAAAATAATGAAAATTAAACCATGGAATTGTCTAGAAATACACTAGTATAGTAGGTTGGTTAAACTGTACAATTAACTCAATTATCCTATGCTGTAAATTGAATATGATTTACTGCATAATTTAAGAAAAATATTAATAGTGAAGAAAATATTAATCAAATATAAAACAGGTTTAAATTTTATTTTTGAGGAAAAGCATTGAGTTTAATCAGCAAAATTCATGAAGGTTAATCCAAAAATTCATTGGAATCTATTTAGGAATAAATTACTTCACTTGAAATGTATCACTAAAAATATTTTTTGATCTAATGGAGTGATAATTGAATACTTTTCTAATCTGAGGCAGGGGAGATAGTAGCACCACAATGTAATTACTTGTCTAGTTAAATACAGTCCTTTTTTGTGGAAATTATTTGCTTTCAGATTCATGCTGAGAAGTGACCAGCTTCTCTTTGTCGTAATACAATTTAACAAAATGTAGCATTCCTTCTAGATCAAATTAAGGCAATTTGGAAAATTAAAGTCTTTGGGTCTTAGCTCTTCAATCATCCTCCATTGTTCCTATCAACTGAGAAAAAATAACTGTGAAAAAAAATCTTGAAGGACTTAATTTCCTTCTATGTTACTAAGCTGAGAGAAGTGATGCCCCTAAAAATGGTAATGACTCAGAGGCTAATGCCAGCAGTGTCCTTCTTTACGCACCTTTTCTGGGCCAAGTCAACTTCTTCCAGGCTCTCACAGGATAATTTACAGGTATATTTGCATGATCACAGAAATAACAAGTCTAGGATGAATAGCACTAAAATGTCTAAGATATATATAATATTGACCAAGATTTCTCTCTTTTTTTCCTCTCTCTCACCTCTCGTGTTCTTCTCCTCCCACCACATACTCATCAACACAACCATCAATCAATGACACTAACAGAATCACTTCTTTATCAGAACTTAAACCACAAAAGAGGTATCCTGTAATTCCATAATCTGTTCTGCTCATTAAATCCTGGGTTTTAAGTGAGTAAATAAATTATTTGATGAGAAGTATTTCGACCTGAAGTAATACTATTTAAGAAGTATTTAAAAAAAGATTTGCACGCTCTGAAATGGCAGTTACAAAGGCATTTGGAAAGGCAGCTATAAAGATACTAAAGGAAGGATATTGGTTATAAAACTAATTCAAAAATATGCTTTCTGAAGTATTTTTGGGACTATCATCTTTGAATGATTATGAAAGGATGCAATAGCATGTTATTTATATTAACTTAAAAATGAAAAAAATCACAAAAAATCTGGAAGCATGAAAAAAAATTACCCTTTTTCTTACTTGAGTGACACCATCAATGTGAGAAGTCTGGTCGTCTGTCTCTGTTTTGAGTGTATATATGCATGTGTGTTCCATAGCTGTAAAAAAATTTGTACAATATGTCATATGCAATTTTCACTTATAGTATGGATAATTAGTTTTAGAAATCTATAAATAATTGATCAAGTATGAATTTACTTGTCCAGGTGTGGTGGCTCATGCACTTTGGGAGGCCAAGGCGGGCAGATCACTGGAGGTCACGTTTGAGACCAGCCTGGCCAACATGGTGAAACCCCATCTCTACCAAAAATACAAAAATTAGCCAGGCGTGGTGGCCCGTGCCTGTAATCCCAGCTACTTGGGAGGCTGAGGCATGAGAATCACTTGAACATGGGAGGTGGAGGTTGCAGTGAGCGGAGATCTGCCACTGCGCTCCAGCCTGGGCAACAGAGCGAGATTCCAACTCAAAAAAAAAAAAAAAGAAGAAGAAGAAGAAGAAGACTGTGAATTAACTCATAATTCCAGTGCTCTGAATCTTTGCAGAATAAAAATACTTTTATTTTAAATTTTGTGTACATTTGATATGTTCTGTACAAATCATTGTTCACTTTTCTAGGGTTTTATTATGGAAAATTTCAAACATATATAAAGGTTAAGAAAATAGACCCCCAGGTAGCTAAATCCAGATGTAGAACTCATCCCTTTCTTTCATCTTGACACCTATTCACCTCCCATCTCCAAATGGATTATCTTGAAGCAAATTTCCAACATCATATCATCTCTAAATATTTTAGTATGATTTCTAAAAGATGACTTTTAAACATAACCACAGTACCTGCAATATTTTACTCAGCTTTTAAATGTATATTTATATTAATACATAATAATACATGATATTTTAACTGTTTTAAAGCACTCCAAGAAATCAGCACACAATAACTTATTTACTAATACTAAATCTCCTAATAATATTTTTTTCCCAATCCTTATGCCATAGAAACAAGGCTGCAGTGAAGGGTAGAACTTCTCATGTTACTAAATGTTGCCAAATTCCTTCTCCAGACAGCTTCCCAACCTATATTCCTACACATAGTAAAAGAAAGCATTTATCCCTGTGTTTTCTAACACTGATAGTGACAGATATTTTCATTCTTGCCAATGGAAGGGGTCTGAAATGGAATCGCATTATATCTGTTATTTGCATTTCCATTCTTGAGAATGCGTAAGTCACGTTTCCCAATGATAATGGATCATTTGGTTTTCTAATCATTAAATTGCCTATTCCTATATCTGATTTATTTTTTCTATTGTGACATTTAAAAAATTTATAGCCTAGTTGAAAATGCCAAAATAATCCTCCCAGTTTGTGGCTGGCCTCTTCACTATGTTTGTTGTTATTTCCTGAACAATAATAATATCAACAACAACAAAATTAACTTCAAATCTTTCAAACATGTCCCTCTTTTCCTTCAAGGTTGGATTTCTCCATCCTTTCTTGTCTTTTATATATAAAATATTGTTTTATCACAAAGACATAATTATATTATTTAAATATTTTAATTTAAATGTTCCTGCTTTTAAACTTATCAATTATTATTTCCTAGAATTTGCTTTTTTTTCACATATTTTGAAGTAAGGCTCCAATATTTTTCATACATATGGCCAAAAGTCCCAGCACCATTTTTTGTTTAATTCTTTCTTACCTCGTGATTAATAATGCCACATGCCATTTAACATTCTCTTGTGTGTATAGGACTGCTCTGAGTCTCTAGTCTGGCCCATTGGCTTATGTAATGTGTTCCTATTTAAGTAGCACAACAGTTTGTTGCCGAATTCTGTAAAATTTTGAATCTTTTAAAGCAAATCTTTCTATAACTCACTTATTCTTTTGTTTTCAAACTGGCTTTGCTGCTTGGTGCCCACCAAATTTTCATAATAATTTTAGTATTGCTTTTTCAATTATGTAAATTATTGAAAAAATTATTATGTAAAAGTATTTACTTTTTAAACACTATATATATATATTTTTGAGATGGAGTTTCACTCTGTCACCCAGGCTGGTGTGCAGTGGTGCAATCTCAACTCACTGCAACCTCTGCCTCCTAGATTCAAGCAATTCTCCTGCCTCAGCCTCCTGAGCAGCTGGAATTACAGGTGTGTGCCACCATGGACGGCTAATTTTTGTATTTTTAGTAGAGATGGGGTTTCATCATGTTGGCCAGGATGGTCTTGAACTCCTGACCTCAGGTGATCCACCCACCTGGGCCTCCCAAAGTGCTGGGATTACAGGCACGAGCCACAGTGCCTAACTAAAACACTGTATTGTTACTACTCTATCTCAAGTATTGTTCTAGGTCCAAAATATTTTCCAATATTAACTTACAAAATCTTTATAGCAATAATAGTAATATCTCATATCCCCAAGGCCACAGAGATTGTTAACCTGGTACTAGGGAAGCTGAACTATAAATCCAGGCAATGCAGATTCATATCATATTTACAAATTGATTTGTACAGCATTGCCTGCCATCTTCATGATATGGAGAGACATTTGTCCAACAGAGTGCCATGAGGCACATGTGGCTATTGAGAACATTAAGCCACTAGAAATATGGCTTAATATAAAATAAAAATCTGATTTGGATTTCAATATCATTGCTAATTTTTTTTTTTTTTTTTTGGTGACGATGTCTCACTCTGTTGCCCAGGCTGGAGTACAGTGGCGCGATCTCGGCTCACTGCAACCTCCGTCCCCCAGGTTCAAGCGATTCTCCTGCCTCAGCCTCCCAGGTAGCTGGGATTACAGGTGCCTGCCACCATGCCCGCCAATTTTTGTATTTTTGGTAGAGACAGGGTTTCACCATCTTGGCCAGGCTAGTCTTGAACTCCTGACCTCATGATCCACCCGCCTCGGCCTCCCAAAGTGCCGGGATTACAGGCATGAGCCACCGCGCCTGGCCTAAAAATTTTTTTCTAAAATATGTCACTACTATATTTCATGCTGATTATATATTGAAATCATAATATTGTGAACATAATTTTAATGAAATATTAAAATTATCTTCACCTATTATTTTTGGTCTTTAAAAATGGCCATTGAAAATTCAAAATTACACATGAATATCTCCTTACATTTTTAAGAACAATACTGATATAGAGTATTCCATTCATGGATATACTACATTTATTTAAAGATTCCATTACATCCCTTAGTACTGCTTATAATTTCTGTATAAAATTCCTATATAATTATTATAAATTTATTTATAGCTATCATAGTAGTTTTTATTATTGTAATAACAATTATCTTAAAATTAAACTTCTGAATTCATTGTACTGCTTATAATTTCTGTATAAAATTCTTGCAGCTTATTATACATTTATTTATAGGAATCACAGATGGCTTTTGTTATTGTAATAGCATTTTTTTGTTTTTTATTTTCTGGGATACATGTGCAGGATATGCAGCTTTGTTACATAGGTAAACGTGTGCCATGGTGGTTTGCTGCACCTGTCAACCCATCACCTAGGTATTAAGCCCAGTATGCATTAGCTATTTTTCCTGATGCTCTTCATCACGCTGCACTCACTGCTGACAGGCCCCAGTGTAAGTTGTTCCCCTCCTTGTATCTGTGTGTTCTCATCATTCAACTCCCACTTATAAGGAAGAACATGTGGTGTTTGGTTTTCTGTTCCTGCATTAGTTTGCTGAGAATAATGGCTTCCAGCTCCATCCAGATCCCTGCAAATGACGTGATCTTATTCCTTTTTATGGCTGCATAGTATTCCACGGTGGATATGTACCACACTTCCTTTATCCAGTCTATCACTGTTGGGCATGTGGGTTGACTCCATGTCTTCACTTTTGTGAATAGTGCTGCAATGAACATATGGGTGTATATATCTTCATAGTAGAATAATTTATAATCATTTGGGTATATACCTAGTAATGGGATTGTTAGGTCAAATGGTATTTCTGGTTCTAGGCCCTTCAGGAATCACCACACTGTCTTCATAATGGTTGAACTAATATATAGTCCCACCAACAGTGTGAAATCATTCTTATTTCTCCACAGCCTCATCAGCATCTGTTGTTTTTTAACTTTTTAAAAAGCACCATTCTTACAGGTGTGAGATGGTATCTCATTGTGGCTTTAATTTGCATTTCTCTAATGATCAATGATGTTGAGCTCTTTTTCATATGTTTGCTGGCTGCACAAATTGCTTCTTTTGAAAAGTGTCTGTTCATATTTTTTGCCCACTTTTCTTGTAAATTTGTTTAAGTTCCTTGTAGATTCTGGATATTAGACCTTGTCAGATGGGTAGATTGCAAAAATTTCCTCCCATTCTGTAGGTTGCCTGTTCACTCTGATGACAGTTTCTTGTGCTGTGCAGAAGCTCCTTAATTAGGTCTCATTTGTCAATTTTTGCTTTTGTTGCAATTGCTTTCGATGTTTTTGTTATAACATCTTTTCCCATACCTATGTCCTGAATAGTATTGCCTATATTTTCTTCCAGGATTTTTATGGTTTTGAGTTTTACATTTAAGTCTTTAATCCATCTTGAGTTAATTTTTGTAAAAGGTGTAAGGAATGGGTCTAGGTTGAATTTTCTACATATGACTAGCCAGTTTTCCCAGCACCATTTATTAAACAGGGAATCCTTTCCCCATTGCTTGTTTTTGTCAGGTTTGTCAAAGATCAGATGGTTGTAGATGTGTGGTCCTATTTCTGAGATCTCTATACTGTTCCATTAGTCTGTGTCTGTTTTGGTACCAGTATCATGCTGTTTTGGTTACTGTAGCCTGGTAGTGTAGTTTGAAGTCGAGTTGTGTGATGTCTCCAGCTTTGTTCTTTTTGCTTAGGATTATCTTGGCTATGTGAGCTCCTTTTTCATTCCATATGAATTTTAAAGTACTTTTTTTAGTTCTGTGAAGAATGTCAATGGTAGTTTAATGGGAATAGCATCTAATCTATAAATTACTTTGGGCAGTATGGCAATTTTCATGATATTGCTTCTTCCTATTCATTGGCATGAAATGCTTTTCCATTTGTTTATGTTATCTCTGATTTTCTTGAGCAGTGGTTTGTAGTTCTAATTGAAGAGGTCCTTCACATTCCTTGTTAGCTGCATTCCTAGGTATTTAGCTCTCTTTATAGCAATTGTGAATGGAAGTTCATTCATGATTTGGCTCTCCTTGTCTATTTTGGTGTATAGAAATATTTGTGATTTTTGCACATAGATTTTGTATCCTGAGACTTTGCTGAAGTTGCTTATCAGCTTAAGAAGCTTTTGGGCTGAGACAATGGGGTTTTCTGGATATAGGATCATGTCATCTGCAAACAGAGACAACTTGACTTCCACTCTTCCTATTTAAATATCCTTTATTTCCTTCTTTTGCCTGATTTCCCTGGCCAGAAGTTCCAATACTATATTGAATAGGAGTGGTGAGAGAGCACATCCTTGTCTTGTGCTGGTTTTCAAAGGGAATGCTTCCAGCTTTTGCCCATTCAGTATGATATTGGTTGTGAGTTTGTCATATATGGCTCTTATGATTTTGAGATATGTTCCATCGATACCTAGTTTATTGAGAGTTTTTAACATGAAGGGATTCTGAATTTTATTGAGTGCCTTTTCTGCATCTATCGAGATAATCATATGGTTTTTGTCGTTAGTTCTGTTTATGTGATTATGTTTATTGATTTGTGTATGTTGAACCAGCCTTGCATTCCAGGGATCAAGTTGACTTGATTGTGCTGCTTTTAATGTGCTGCTGAATTATGTTTGCCAATATTTTATTGAGGATTTTCACATAGATGTTCATCAGGGATATTGGCCTGAAATTTTTTTTTTTTGTTGTATCTCTGCCAGGTTTTGGTATCAGATTGATGCTGGCCTCATAATGTGAGTTAGAGAAAATCCCTCCCTTTCAATTGTTTGGAATAATTTCAGAAGGAATGGTACCATCTCCTCTTTGTATCTGTGATAGAACTTGGCTGTAAACAAATGTGGTCCTGGGCTTTTTTTGGTTGATATGCTGTTTATTACTGCCTCAATTTCAGAGATTGTTGTTGATCTATTCATGGATTTGACTTCTTCCTGGTTTAGTGTTGGGAGGGTGTATGTGTCCAGGGATTTATCTGTTTCTTCTAGATTTTCTTGTTTATTTGCATAGAGGTTTTTATAGTATTTTCTGATGGTTGTTTGTATTTCTGTTAGGTCAGTTGTGATATCACCTTTATTTTTTTAATTGTACCAATTTGATTCTTCTCTCTTTTCTTCTTTATTGGTCTAGCTACCGGTCTATCTAATTTATTAAATTTTTCAAAAAACAAGCTCCTGGTTTCATTGATTTTTTGAAGGGTTTTTCATGTCTCTATCTCCTTCAGTTCCTATCTGATCTTGGTTATTTCTTGCCTTCTGCTAGCTTTGGGGCTTGTTTGCTCTTGGTTCTCTAGTTCTTTTGGTTGTGATGTTAGGGTGTCTATTTGAGATCTTTCTAGATTTTTGAAGTGGACATTTCATGCTATAAATTTCCCTCTTAACACTGCTTTAGCTGTATCCCAGAGATTCTAGTACCTTGCCTCTTTGTTCTCAATTGTTTCAAATAACTTCTTGATTTCTGCCTTATTTCATTATTTATCCAGGAGTCAATCAGAAACAAGTTGTTCAATTTCCATGTAGTTGTTTGGTTTTGAGTGAGTTTCTTAATCTTGAGTTCTAATTTGATTACGTTGTGGTCTGAGAGACTGTTTGTTATTATTTCAGTTCTTTTGCATTTGCTGGGACTTTTAATTATGTGATCAATTTTAGAGTAAGTGCCATGTGGCACCGAGAGGAATGTATATTCTCTTTTGGGAGGGGGGTTGAGAATTTGGTAGATATCTATTAGGTCCACTTGATCCAGAGCTGAATTCAAGTCCTGATTAACTTTGTCAATTTTCTGTCTCAATGATCTAATATTGAAAATGTGGTATTAAAATCTCCCAACATTATTGTGTGGGAGAGTAGGTCTTTTCATAGGTTTCTAAGAACCTGTTTTAAGAATCTGGGGGCTCCTTTATTGGGTTCATATATATTTAGGGTAGTTAGCTCTTCTTGTTGAACACTTTATCATTATGTAATGCCTTTGTCTTTTTTATCTTGTTGGTTTAAAGCCTGTTTTGTCAGAAACTAAGATTGCAACTCCTGCTTTTTCCTGATTTCCATTTGCTTGGTAGATTTTCCTCCATCCCTTTATTTTGAGCCTATGTGTATCTTTGCACGTGAGATAGGTCTCTTGAATACAGGACATGCATGGGTCTTGTCTCTATCCAGCTTGCCATTCTGTGTCTTTTTATTGGCACATTTAGCCCATTTACTTTTAAGGTTAATATTATTATGTGAATTTGTTCCTGTCATCATGATGCTACCTGATTATTGCACAGACCTCTTGATGTAGTTGCTTCATAGTGTCATTGATCTGTGTACTTCAGTGTGTTTTTGTAGTGGCTGGTAATAGTTTTTCCCTTCCATATTTAGTGCTTCCTTCAGGAGCTCTTGCCAGGCAGTCCTGGTGGTGATGAATTCTCTCATCATTTGCTTGTCTGAAAAGGATTTTATTTCTCCTTTGCTTATGTAGCTTAGTTTGGGCAAATATGAAATTCTGGATTGGAAATTTTTTTGTTTAAGAATGTTGAATATTGGCCCCCAATCTCTTCTGGCTTGTAGAATTTCTGCTGAGAGGTCCACTGTTATTTTAATGGGTTTCTTTGTAGGTGACCTAGCTTTTCTCTCTGACTGCCCTTAACATTTTTTGCTTCATTTCAAACTTGGAGAATCTGAGGATTATGTGTCTTGGGGTTGATCTTCTCATGGAGTGTCTTATTGGGGTTCTCTGGATTTCCTGAATTTGAATGTTGGCTTGGCTTGCTAGGTTGGGGAAGTTCTTCTGGATGATATCCTGAAGTGTGTTTTCCAACTTGGTTCCATTCTCCATAGCTCTTTTAGGTACCCCAATCAGTTGTAGGTTTGGTCTTTTTACGTAACCTCATAGTTCTTGGAGATTTTGTTCATTCCTTTTCATTCTTTTTTCTCTAATATTGTCTGCTTGTGTTATTTCAGCA
This sequence comes from Homo sapiens, assembly GCF_000001405.40. Classification (NCBI taxonomy): domain Eukaryota; kingdom Metazoa; phylum Chordata; class Mammalia; order Primates; family Hominidae; genus Homo; species Homo sapiens. The sequence goes on from NT_187618.1 coordinate 58,517, forward strand.
AGATAGTCTTCAAGCTCTAAAATTCTTTCCTCCACTTGGTCTATTTGGCTATTGATACTTGTGGTTTCATTGTGAAGTTCTCATGTTATTTTTCAGCTCGATCATTATTTTCCTGTCTAAACTGGTTGTTCTGATTAACAGCTTCTGTAATGTTTTTAACATGGTTCTCAGCTTCTTTGCCTTGGGATAGAACATGTTCCTTTAGCTCAGCAAAGTTTGTTATTACACACATTCCGATGCCTACTTCTGTCAGTTAATCCATCTCAACCTCAGCCCAGTTCTGTGCCCTTGCTGGAGAGATGTTGCAATCACTTGGAGGAGATGAGAAGCACTCTGGCTTTTTGAGTTTTCATAATTTCTTCATTGATTCTTTCTCATCTTCCTGAGTTTATCTGTCTTTGATCACTGAGGCTGCTGACCTTTGGATGGGGTTTTTGTGGGGACTTTTTCATTGATGTTGTTGTAGTTGTTGCTTTCTGTTTTTTTGGTTTTGTTTTTACAGTTAAGACCCTCTTCTGTAGGGTTGTTGTGGTTTGCCAGGGGTCCACTCCAGACCCTCTTCTCCTGGGTTTCTCCTGCTCCTGGAGGTATGGGGGCTGCAGAAAATCAAAGATGTCTGCCTCCTCCTTCCTGTGGGAGCTCCATCCCAGAGGGGCACTGACCTGATGCCAGCCAGAATGCTCCCATGTAAGGTGTCTGGCGACTCCTGTTGGGGGAATCTCACCCCATCAGGAGGCATGAGATCAGGGACCCACTTAAGGAAGCACTCTGGCTGCCCATTGGCAGAGTGGGTGTGCTGTGCTGGTGAGAATCTCACTTATCTGGACTGCCTGGATTCCTCAGAGCCAGCAGGGGAAAAGACTAATTCTGTTGACCCATGGAAACCACAGCCACTCCTCACCCCAGGGGCTTTGTCCCAGGGAGATAAGAATTCTGTCCCTAACCTTCTGGGGCGAGTTGCTGAAATTCCCACAGGGAGGCCCTGCCCCATGAGGAGGGATGGGTTCCACTAGGTCTAAAGAGGCAGTGTGGTGACTATCTGCCACACCCACTGTGCTGTGCTATGTGGAATTCTTCCTGAGTCCAAACTGCTCAGTCTCCCCAGTGCTGGAAGGGGAAAATGACAGACTGGAACTGTAGTAATGTATTGAACAGCAGCATTATTCTTAAAATTAAACTTTTGAATTCATTAAACTTTTGAATTCAAACTTTTCAATTCATTCATGGATTTTTAAAGTATCCACCATGAATCCAGCAATTTGGCTAAGCTCTCTAATGAATTCAGTTTGTCTTTAGTTTCTGTTGAATTTCTTATTTAGAAAACTATGCCATCTTCAATTAATAAAAATTGTGCTTATCTGTTTATGCTTGCTTCAATCAATTTCCTAGGACCTGAAGAACAGAATATAGAGTGATTGTAGCAGGCATTCTTATATTTAATTCTGATTTTACAGAAAATCATGTTTCATAATCCAGTATGATGTTTGCTATAGATTTGTGGAAGATAATTTTTTTAAGTGAAGTAAGTTACTCTATAATACTGGTTTGTTAAAATATTTTCTGTATGCTTAATATTATCAACTTTTGTTCATTGATCGAATTTATACTGTTTTGTCTTATTTGTTCATGCTATAACAAATAAATTTCCTATTTTTAAACCTCTGCATTTTATGATAAACATTACATGTTCATGGCTTTAAAAAACATATTGTTAGGCTGACTTGTATGTATATACATAAAAGTTATGCATTTTTGTGTTTTTGCATATATGTTCTCAAGTGATGTTATGGTTTGAGAATCCCCAATGTGGCAGCATTGAAAGCTAGAGCCTTAGGTGATTGTGTCATGAGGGCAGAGACCTCATGAACAGATTAATTTATTTATGGATTAATAGATGAATTGATTAATCAGTTATCATGGAAATGAGACTAACTGCTTCATAAAGAAGAGGAAGAGACCTGAGAAACACACTTGGCCCCCTCGCCATGTGTGACCCTGTGTTGCTTAGAAACTTTGCAAAGAGTCTTCACCAGCAAGAAAGTTTTCAACAAATGTGGACCCTGGAACTTGGACTTCTCAGCCTTCATAACTGTAAGAAATAAATTACTTTTTAAAAGGAATTTAAGATATCTTCAAATAGTCTGTTATAAGCAACAGAAAACAGGCCAATACAAATGAGATTTATCTATATTTTTCTTTTTATTTTGCTATTGTTTTGTTTAGATACTATGATTCTAGCTTAACAGAAATAGGCACCTGTTCCTTCAAGGAGGGTAAAACATGCCTAGAGATTGTAAATAGATTTTTGAATAACAATTCAATTCACTTAAAGTACATGTTTTGTTTTGTTTTTTTAGACAGAGTCTTGCTACCCCAGGCTGGAGTTCAGTGGTACAATCTCAGCTCACTGCAACCTCCGCCTCCTGGGTCCCAGTTCAATCAATTCTCCTGCCTCAGCCTCCCAAGTAGCTGGGAATACAGGCACACACCACCATGCCTAGCTAATTTTTTTTTTTTTTTAGTAGAGACAGGGTTTCACCTTGTTGGCCAGGCTGGTCTTGAACTCCTGACCTCATAATCCACCTAACTTGGCCTCCCAAGGTGCTGGGATTACAGGCGTGAGCCACCGTGCCCTGCCCTTTTTTATCCTTTTAGTAAATTTAGCTAGTTTATAATTTTTCCAAAAAAGTTCGCCATTTCAATATTCAAGTATGTTGACATAAAATCGTACATATTTTTTATGATTTTTTTCAAAAGCATCTTTTTTTGACATTATGCCTTTACCTTCCTTATTTCTAATATTGTTAGTTTGTGCCTTCTCTTTAAAATTTTATCAATTTTGGTAGAACTTAGTTGTTTTGCTAGTCTTTTGCAAGAATAATCTCTAAAGACTTGTTCCTCTTTTTTACGGGTATATATTTTTTCACAAAACTCTAACTTTTATACTTGAAACATCTTTCTTTTTCACTTAAATATATCTAGGAGATATTTAAGTTTTGTTTGTTTTGGACAATATCGTTATTATTCCAATAAAAGATGCATAGTATATTATTTAATTGGTTTACTAGTAGTAGACATTTATATTATTTACCAATTTTGTACATTTAATTCTGTGTTGAATACTTTTTAGCATATCTATTTTGCAAAACTGCATATATTAGTAGAATATGTTCCTAAAAATAGAATTTCAGGAATAAAACCTACATTATTCAAATTTTGTTTTTACCATCAAAATTTATTCATGGACATTGTTCCCATCAACAGATCAAAAATAAGTGTACGTATTTCCTCACCATTTTCCACCATAATGTGTTATCAAACTTTTCATTATTTACTAATTTGATACTTGAACATTGGTATATCAATAAACCCTTAATTAGGATATCTCTCATATGTGAAAGATTGAACACAACTAATACTTAAGAAAACATGCATTTTCCTTTTTGTAAAATCTCTCTTTACATATTTTGCCCACTTTTTATTTGACTGTTGGTGGTTGTCAATGTACATCTCTGAATGTCGTGTACATGAAATAAATTATTCTATTTTCTGAATTATGATGATCAGTTTGATACTGTATTTGAAATTTGTTCATTATATTTAATTTAAAAAAATTTTCATGTACTCAAATTTGTTTAGTATTTCCCATAAGGCTTCTTAGTTATGTGGAATACTTATGAAGACTTTCTTTAACAAGCTTTTTTGATAACATCTATTCTGACATGTATTGTTCCAGTCCATTTTTTTATACTTTTATTCTTCATACTTAAATATGTCGCATTTGTAATTCACTTTGGTGTAGCTATTAAATACAGAATCACATTTTTTCCAAAAGTCTATCCAATTGCCTCCATATCATTTCTGAAAGAATTATTTCACCCAATAGATTATCATGTTCTAGATTCAAAAGATATGTTCCTCTATTTCTAGTCTTTCTAATCTCTTTACTTCCTCATTATGCCAAAATGTAGCCTAGTAATGTTCTGTATTACACATTGTAGTTTTACAATTTGCTTTTACTGTAAGTTGCTTTTTTTCTAAAATTTTCTATTATTATTTGTGTCTTATAGCTCAGGTATATATAAAATAATGGTTTTATTTCTTGGGAAATAGTATTCTTTTTACTCTTCTGTTGTAGAAAAATGACATCTTTGTGATGTTTAGTATTTCTATCCAAGAAGATGGCATACTTTTTCACTTGTTCTATTATTTGTATATGTGTTCGTGTGTCTTAATATAATTTTAAAAACTTTTTATTTAAATCATGCACCTTTCTCATTAAATTTATAACTATATATTTTATTCTTTTTTGTTGCCATGGTAAATTAAGTATTTGATTTTTTCTATTATATTTTCAAACTCATAGTCTGTAATACATCTTTATTCTAATATCTGTAATTTTCAGTCATTTTTCTTATCTAATAGTATTTTTTACCCCTTCCACAAAATGTTTCATAATGCAATATTGGGTATCCTTGAATTGCTTCTTACTTTCATGACCATCTTTCTAGCATTTCTCCATTGAGAAAGATTTTGGCATTTGTAATATGATAAAGCTGTCTACTCATAGCTGCCAAGATTTGTCTGAATAAGAGTAGATAAAAGCAGAAGCAGGTATTTGGAACCTACTGCAAATATCCAATCAAGAGGTAATGGTGACTTAAAGACAGTGATCTTGGCAGTGATGAAAGGTGCTCAGTTTTGTAGGCAGAACCAACAAGACTTCCCAGATGACATTGGTCCAAGCACTGAAAGAATGGAATTACTATTAATTAAGGTGAATCATGGAAAGAGTAGGTGGGAAATGAGACAGAAATACCAATAACTGAGTTTTTGACATTCATTTCAGGAATAACAATATGTATTAGTATTAGGAGAATTATAATCTATCATATTAATAGGTTAAAAGAAAATATTAACTTTGATTTATGTGGGAAACAGCATTTGATAGAACTCAGTATCCTTTTTTCATAAAACTCCTTAGCAAAGAATAAATAGAATAATAATTCTTAATATATTTAAATATAAATTTTACAAACAAATGGCCAGCATCATCCTTATGAGTAAAATATAAAAAGCATTATTATTAAATCTAAAAAACATTGTATGCTCTAACCACTGCCATTAGACAATTAAAAAAAAAGTATGAACATTTGAAAGGAAACCACAATGTGATTTGTAAATAATATAGTGTAAAACTGAAAAGAAAATTGAAAAACAATATTTAAAAATTATTAAAATAATATGAGAGCTTGGGAAAATGATAAATTATAAAATAAACATGCAAAGTACAATATATTTATGATATATTAAAATACAAGTTTCAAGACATATTTTAAAACATCTTTAGTTAAAAGTATGAATAGGAAAGACAAATGTACAGAAATTATATTAATAAAACTATAAAATTATCAAACTCTATTCAAGGAAATAGAAAATATATAAGAAGCATGTAAATATCACTTACTGTTTGCCAGACACTGGTCTAAGTTCTCTACCCTTTAATCATCACCAAAAATCTTTTTAATAGATGTTATTATTAACATTATTTTACATTGGATAAAACTTAGGAAAGGAAGGGCTTAAATCATTTACCTAAAATCAAGCAGGTAGTAAATAGCAGAGCCAAGTGGAAGACTGAACATACAAATGGACAATAACCAGACCATAAATAAAAATAGAACTCTGACCCTCAAACTCCAGCAACCAGCCCAGCTAGCCAACCCATTCATTATTTATAGTAAATTGTTCCCAGAAGCCAGACTACTAATTCTAATAACAATTCTGAGAAGTCAAACTAAACCCCTATAACAATTAGCCCCAAATGACTAGGAATTGATTAATATCTGACAGCTTTCCTAATTTTCACTCCTGTAATGTAAGGCCAATCTGCGAACGCTACACAGGCATCCTTAACCAATAACATAAAGTAGTCTGCTTCTAGTTAGCCTAGTTTCAGCTTCCCCATGCCAACAGCCTACAATGAGGGCATAATGAAGTCTTCAATTCATTGTGAAGCTTTTACACTTTTCTCTTCGCCTTTGAGTCTTTGTCAAATGCAAGTGATGACAGCTGATTGCCTTGCTGTAGCAAGCATTGAATAAATAGCCATTGCTTATTCTCATTTGGGTGGTCTTATTTGTTTTCACACAGAATTCAAATTCAGAATATCTGAATCCAGACTCTGAGAAAAATCTTTCTCCTTGATGAAAAGATCAATTTACTACAATCTATTGCAAAAATTAATTTGGCTAAATTTGGAACTTCATAGAATTATTCTAATTTTACCTTTATATAGACATAAAAGAAGCAGAAAAATATGAAAAAATAATTAAAAGGATACATGCCTTATCAAATATTAAAATGCATTTTAAAGTCATAATAATCTAAATAGTATGGCAATGTTATAGAATAGCCAATTATAGCAATAAAACAGAAAAGAGAGTCCAGAAATTTTACTAGTATATATAAGACATTATGTGGGGAAAAAAAACATAAAATTATTTCAAATAATTGCTAAAATGACATTTTTAAAATTATTTGAATTGCGTAATGTATATACATATCCTCATATGAAAATAAATTGTAGATTTTAACTCAAAAGGTTAATCATTCATATAAAAATAAAGCATATCATTCAAAATAGTAAAACTATGTCTTGAACTTTCATCAGATTTTTACATCAAACCTATAAAGCACTAAATACTTGAAAATAAAGAAAAAATGACAGAAAATACTAATAGCAGTAGCTAAACATATTTTCATCTGATCAAAAAAGATCAAGCATTTAAACAGTAGTAGGAACAAAGAAGAAATAAATAACATAAAGAATTACATATTTATTTAATCAGCAAATAAAAAATATACTCTCTTATCAAATAACTGTGACATACTTTAAAAGACAGACACAAGCACGTAATTTGATCACAAAAATGTAATAAATTCCAAAAATCAGAGGTAGCATAAAGTTCAATCTCTTGATCCAGTGTGTAGACATATTAATTAAGAGCAAACAGAAACAACAATAATAACAATGACAAAAATTTCTGAAACATTTAGGAGTATAATGACATAAGTTTTAAATCAAAAAAATATTTAGGACTGCAATTAAGTGAGGCATTATGTATCATAAAAGATGGGACAAGTTCTAAATGGTACCAGGAAGAAAATTTAGTCTGTTAGGTTCCAGAAAATAATACCTGAAGTGTGATGTTTAGACACATTGAGTATTTGAACTAAAAGAGACTGGAAAATCTCAGAAGCAAGTTCTTTCTGACCTTCTCCTATCTTCCTGTTTCCTATTCCTCTTTCTCCCCTGAAGTGAGTCATAGAAATAAAAATTCCTCTTCCCCAAGACAGGCAATAGAAACTAAAACCCCTCTCCCTCAAAGTAAGCCATAAAACCTACAAGAGTCACTCTCTCCCTTCTTCCTTCTTCCTTGAAGACCTTCTTTCTAGAGGGGTCTAGCCCCATACCCATAAGGAAGGAATGCTACATAGGAAGTCTAAGAAAAATATGAGTAGATAGACCTTGCTGGGTTTCTCCACTTAGTCTATTATCTTTAGATCATACCTGTTTGCCCAATTACATTTGTATGTGGCTATTCATTCTTCATCAAACCTAAGCATAAAAATGGAGTTTTCTCTGGGTCTTTGGGCCTCATTTCTGAAGGTTTTCGTGTTTAATAAAACTAAATAAATTTATTATGTATATTTTGTGTCAACCTGTCTTTTGCTATAAGAGTGTTAGCCATGACCCTCAGGAGGGGTGAGAAAAGGTATCAAAACCTTTCCATCCCTACAAGTCTTAAGCATGAAAATAAATGACTTAAGTATCATACATAATACATTAGAAGAAGAGCACTATGTCACAGTTAAGGAAAGCAGTCCAGGCATGGGGGCTCACACTTGTAATTTCAGCACTTAGGGAGTCTGAGGCAGAAGGATCATTTGAGGCCAAGAGTTTGAGACCACCCTGGGCAACATATAGCAAGACCCCATCTCTATAAAAAAATAATAATAATGAAAAGGAAAGTAAGGTTAAAGGGCTCCTGAAAATGGGCTCCTGCTATCTTTTTTTTAACTCTACTTCTTATTTTATGTTTTACTCTAGACATGCTGATACACAAAAAGAAAATATTCTTTTCCCTCTACTCTTCTAAGTTCGTAGCTGGGGACTCTGTAACAGAAGACAGATTAGACAAGAAAAAACAAATAGAAGTTTATCAACATGCATGAGAGGTCTTCAAAATGTTCATGGAAAATGCATGTTATAAAAAAGCTATGCATGGATTTCAAAATCTTTATGCTAAAATAAAGGTATACTAACTTTTTAAAACATATCTGAACAGCATCTAGTTTGAAACATTAAGAATGATAAGACATTAGTTTGAATAGGGTCTCTATCAGAAGAACATAAATTCTGCTAAAACTAAAGCAAGAACAAACATCAAACTTATGCTGAAGCTTGAGTAGAAGAATGGTGAAATTATTATTGATGCTTAACAAAAGTTTATAGGGAATATGACCCAAATAAATCAGTAGTTTACAAATGGATAACTCCTATTAAGTAGAGATGAGACAATATTAAAGATGAAGCTCGCAGCAGTAGACCATCCACATCAATGTGCAAGGAAAAAATTAATTTTATGGTGCCCTAATTGAAGATGAACAATGATTAATAGCAGAATCAATAGAGAACAGCATAGCCATCTCAACTGGTTCAGCTTACACAATTCTGACTAACAAATTAAAGTTGAGCAAATTTCCACTGAATGAGTGTAAAAACCATTATGCCCAGGTCAAGAGCAGAGGTTTCTTTTTCTTTCTGTTTTTTTTTTTTTTTTTTTTTTTTTTCTGAGACAGAGTGTCCCTCAGTCAATGAGGCTGGAGTGTGGTTGTCCAATCTTGGCTCACTGCAGCCTCTACCTCCCGGGTTCCAGTGATTCTCATGCCTCAGCCTCCTGAGTATGGGATTACAGGCATGTGCCACCATGCCCAGCTAGATTTTTGTATTTTTAGTAGATACAGGCTTTTGCTATGTTGGCCAGGCTGGTCTCAAACTCCTGGTCTCAAGTGATCTGCCTGCTTTGGCCTCCCAAAGTGCTGGGAATACAGGCTGGAGCCATAATGGCCAATCAAGAGCAGATCTTTCAATGGATGCTGAAGGTTTTCTGTTGTTTTTTTTTTTTTTTTTTTTTTTTTAGAATTGTAACAGGGCATGTAACATAGCTTAACTAGTACAATCCTGAAGACAAGCACAATCAAACCAATGGCTACTAAGATGTAAATGTGGTCCAGTCAAAGCAAAACAGAACCAGTTTAGAGCAAAGGTCATGGTAACAATTTTTTGGGATGCTCAAGGCATTTTGCTTGTTGACTTTCTGGAGGGTCAAAGAACCATAACAGGCCAGGTGCAGTGGCTCATGCCTGTAATCCCAGGACTTTGGGAGGCCAAGGCAGGTGGATCACCTGAGGTCAGGAGTTCAAGACCAGCCTGGCCAACATGGTGAAACCCCATCTCTACTAAAAATACAAAAACTAGCCAGGTGTGGTGTCAGGCACCTGTAATCCCAACTACTCAGGGGGCTGAGGCAGGAGAATTGCTTGAATCCAGGAGGTGGATGTTGCAGTGAGCCTAGATTACACCATTACACTCCAGCTTGAGGGACAAGAGTGAGACTTCATCTCAAAAAAAAAAAAAAAAAAAAAAAAAAGAACCATAACATCTGGTTATGGGTGTGGTTTCAGAAACTTAGCAAGCACTTTAGCAGAAAAACGCCCAAGAAATTGTCGCCAGGTAGACCTTTTCCACTGTGACAATGATTTTGCTCATTCCTCTTGTTAAACAAGGGCAATGCTGCAAGAGTTTCAATAGGAAATTAGTAGGCATTCACGTTACACCTAATGTAGCTCCTATTAGGCATTTGCCATTCACCTGATTAGGCTTCTGACTTCTTTTTGTTTTCAAATCTTAAAAAAATATTTTAAGAGCACCTATTTTTCTTAAGTTAATAATATAAAAAGATGACATTGAAATGGTTACATTTCCAGGACCCTCAGTTTTTTAGGGATAGGCTAAATAGCTGGTATCATCCCTTACAAAAGTGTCTTAAACTTAACGAAGCTTAGAGAATGTGAGACACCTTTACATTACAAACGGACATTCCCTTTATAATGTAAATTTGTCTTACAAAAGGGTAACTCTTCATCTGTTTACAGAGGTTTGCCTATGTCTGTGGTTTCTTAAAAATAATCACCCCAATATAATTCCTGTGCCAAAAAGGCATACTTCAGGTGGCATATTCTAGTCTCTTATACGGGCTCCTCTCAATTTTCCAGCAACACTTCGTGGAATTATCCAGAATGTCCACCACTCTATTTCTGAGCATTGTATCATCCTTCAAAGACTCATTAAATCTATCTTCTTTTGTAAGATATTCTTCAACAATAATCAAGCCACAGTAAAAAAAAAAAATAAAAAATAAAAAATAAAAAATAAAAAATTATATCATAGACCAATCTCAGAGTATATTTAAAAATCAATATTTAATTATGTCCACTCAGTGTATGTGTGTCATTCTCTAACCACCAGATTAGTAGCTCCCCATAGCCTTATCTTGATTGTTTCCCACACACAGGTTATAAAGTGACTGATAAAGAGTTTACTTTTGGAAGAGCACTAATACTTTTGTGATATGTCAAGGATAATATGTTACAGTAATTTAAAGATGGGAAATAAGAGATAGAGAAGTGTACTAAAAGTCAGAGATAAGGCAATGATTTCGCCCATAGGCCAGAGATTTTCTGATGATTTTTCCAGATAAGGAGTGGACCTTTGGCCCCATCACTTAAACTGATTCTGTTGTTGCCATTCGGTATTTCTTTGAGCCCTTTTCTCATCACCACAGTCTGTGATCGCTTTCTATCTATTTTGCTACTTTACGATTTACTGTCAAGGATCTTTGGCTCTGGCAAATACAACTCATGCTAAATGATTTTCAGTAATACTTCAAAATGGGAGCTAGCATAGCCACATTTGTGCATTTGTGACTCAAAAATCTCCTTCTCTCTCATCCCTCTTCTTGTCTTTTCCATTTTCCCCCCTCTTCTACTGACTGATAAAATAATCTGATTATATAGCAAAATTGAGAAGTTATTTTCCAATGAAAATTTTGGGAATAACTGCATCCCCATGCCCACTCAAAAGATATAGTAAGCAATAAGAACATGCATTCAGGAAAAATCAGTAGAATAGTTCATGGGACAGATAATTACTACTTGCATTTCATTTAAGTAATGTATTGATACTTATATTTCAATGGAGCCACCTGTCCTGAGCTAATGGGAATTGGCTGTCAGATAATAAACTGGATAGACTGCCTGGTTGTCATATCAAAAGCTTTTTGTTTTATTCTAAAGATAAGAAGCAATGCAGATTTCCCTGTGATGGAGTTAAGCTATTCTGAGAATTTTTAAACTGCAAAATTGTCAAATGAAAAGATGATTGCAAAAGGAAAAAAAAAGATTTTCAATAAAGAGAGAGGGACTATTGCACCAGGAAGACTACTTAGGTCATAAGATCTGCAAGCATCTCAAAGGTAAGGCAGAAAAGAGCTTTTCTTTAGTAGGGAGAAATGAACAAGTCTAGAAAGAACTGAGCACGGAGAAGTGGGGCCAAACCAGAGTTAATTAGGAAAGATTATTCCCTGAAGTTAGACTATGTTCAGCTGTATGCTGGTTGAAGATTAATGTGGGTAAAATTCAGGGGCCTGGGAGAAGAAGAGAAGCTTAAGTATTAGGTTGATGCAAAGGTAATTGAGTTTAATATTGTCAAAAAAATCTGCATTAATAAAGGGATTATCTGATAAGTCTGAGTGACTGAATGAATATATAAATGATGATAATAAATACAGATGACAACAAAACTCTGATCTGCAACATCTAAAGCAACCAGCCAGGAAGCCAAATCACAACCTCTGTAGCAACTGGGCCGTAATGGTGAGAACTTAGTCAACAATATCCAGCTTTCCTGTTTACTTCTGATCTCAATGCAGGATAAGCCAAAGAAAACCAAAAATACTTCCCAAACAACTCACATAGGATTCTCTTCAACTTCCCCATATCAATCATCTCCAATTAGAGCATTTCCGAATCCTTCCCTTGCTTTTAAGTTTGTTCATTCCCTTGCGTGACTGTGAGTCTCCACCAAATGCAAGTGATGGTAGCTGGTACCCATGATATCATAAGCTCTGAATAAATAGTGTTTGTTCTTATTTGGGTGGTCTTCATTTATTTCCACAGTTTTCTAGAGGCTCCATTGAGACACAGTTGCACTGCCTGCCACTGTGGACCCCAGCCTTCTGCCAAGTGAGGTACTCACAATGGCTCCTTGTGCCTTGCTGCTGAGGGCTTCTTGAGTCCATGCTAACGTGGTAAGTCAACATTACATCAGAACTCAACCATCCTTTACGTATCTCTGCTATTTATTCTTAAGTATATTACCTGAGTTTTGTTATAATTCCTCATTGTTTGCCATTCTTGGTGAGATCAGGACATTCATTTTCATTCATTTTTGCTCTCTTTTGTGCTTCTGTTTTGTGTTATGCTATCTAAAATTGTGGTAGTGTTGCTTGTCATAGGAAAGAGAGCCACAGGATAGAACACAAGCATGGACACTGTAAGCTTGTGGTTTAAGGAGGCCTCGCAAACCACTGAGTTTATATAACATATAGGTACAGCCTCAGACGAACTTTGCTGTGGGTCACAGTTAAAATCTTTCTCCCTCTATCTCTTTTGTTTTGTCCTGAGATCTTTGCTTTAATGAATAAAAAGTATTTTCTTTGATCATTTGCTTGCCTGGTGGCATAGATTGTCAGGTCTGCATTTGGAGGCAACAAACTATCAGATTGGGGTGCCCAAGATCTGAAGTGCACATATATCACTTCAACCAGCCATTTCCAGCTCTTATAAGCATTTTAAGGCTAAATATTATCCTCCTTCGTGGAAAAAAAAAAATCCTGCCTCTGTATGTATTCTGAATATAATGTTAACTATTATATTATCTTTCCAAATGTCATAACTTTACCAAGGATCATTTGGACCTTCAGTGGATCCTGTGTGCACATTTGACTCTAAAATGTTGTTCTTTTAAGAGACATAATAGAAACAAACAAACAGAGAACAAGATCACTCAACCTCAATGGAAAGCATTTTTTAGTTGGTATGCAGAAAACCCAGAATGAAATTCTGATTCAAAAATCGCTTCTCTAAATGATTGTTTGGTCAAAGCTAATGAGCAATTTGACAAACTTAAGCACCAGAAAACAGACTTACATTTTAGTTAATGCCCCCATTCCTTGTTTTCAAGTTGCCTTCCTATATTCAATTCTCTCTCTTCCTCAAGTCAGTTGCCCACAAAAATCCATCCCATTCATGAATCAGGTACTCAGGCAACTGTAGAATTTAAACCTCAGATCTGAGTTAAATTAAGAGTCATTATTAAATATTTCCATAATAAAATGTCAACTTAAAATGCTGTATTTCAGAAAAGTAAAAATTTATATTTCCATAAAGTTGGGCAAGGCCAGCAACTATTTATAAAATAATTTATAATTCTTTTAGGTTCATACAACAGAGTTACCTGATGTATTAGTTTTTTTATTGCAGCTGGAACAACTTACCATGGATACAGTGGTTTTAATCAATAAAAATTTATTAACTTAACCTCCTGTAGGTTAGAACCCTAATCAGGCCTAAAACCAAGGTATTGGCAGAGCTGTGTTCTTTTCTGGAGACTGTAAGGAAGAATTCATTTATTTATCTTTTCTAAAATCTAGAGGCCACCTATATTCTTTGACTCATGGCCCCTTTCTCCATCTTCAAAGCCAGCCAAGGTTGGTCCAGTCTTTCTCATGCTGTCATTTCTCTGGTTCTTTTCTTCTATAATGACATCTCTCCCTCTGACCACAGTCCAGAAAAGTTTTCCACTTTTAAGAACTCATGTGATTTGGTGCAGTTAACCTGGATAATCCAGGATAGCCTCCCCATTTCATGATTCTTACCTTAATCACATCTGCAAACCTTGTGCTGTGTAAAGTAACAAAATTACTGGTTCCAGAAATCAGGATCTTCCTATAACTGGTATCTGGGAGGCTCACACGTTTAAGAATGTTGTCTGTGGTACTAGTCTCTATCCTGTATAATGCAGATATGATAAATATTGCAATGACCCATGTGCTACACTCAGACCCACCACTCCACCGCTGATATATTAAGGCCATTTCTCACATCTTTTTAAATAGCCTCATCATGATCTTCAACCAGATTTCATCTATTGGAAGAGACACCAGAGAAAAACTGCTCTTAAACCGTGTTAAAAAGAACCTAATTAGGTACTGCTGACAGCAAATACAACTGTGAAACTCCAGGGGGTTAATTGCTAGGTTCCGATTTCACAACCTGAGAAAGCAATGCAGAATGCAAGAAACCATTAATAGACCTCAAACTATGATGCTCAGATATTTTCTAGAAGTAATCAATCAGAAGTAAACCCTGACCAAGACCTTTGAACAAGCAGATTATCTCAGGTACAGGACAGTTTCTACACCAGTATCTGAGCTGCGTCAAGACCCCTGTCTAATTCCTATTTTGTTTTTCATTTGTTTATTGTAATTCTCATTTTCTATAAATACCTGGTTGTAATCTACAAATAGTATCCCTTTTCCTCATTTCTCTCCTTTTTATAATTGTTAGGTCAGAACATACTCATTCTAGTGCCATTTTTAGATTATTTCAAAATAGAAACCACTGTCCTCAATCTTGCTGATTCCTAGATATGCCATGCGGCTCTGAGTCCTCATGATAAAAAAACCTCTGGACAATTTTAGTCTCATCAAATGAGGTCTTAGAAAATTACAGTCAATGGTGCTTTCAGGTACCTACATGAACAAATGAATTTTAAAAAACACTCAAATTATGACTTTCCTAGTGGTCCTTTCTTTCAAAAAAAAAAATATTTTTAATTTTCTAGAAAATTCTTAATTTGTAATCAACAACCATCCTAGAATTACAAGCCAAATACTTGACACCTGAAAGAGACTAACTGAAATTCAAAACTGTAACTCAGATAATGTAAGACCTTGGGTGTAACTTCACATCATGAATGATTCCTTTGTTTCCTAGATCTCCATGTTTCTCTATTGGATACTATTTCCTTTGTGGCCAGGGTACCTGTTATTTTTTGCTTGTACTAAAACCTCATGAAATTTAGGAATAATATTTCAAGACTTGGCTATACACCAAGACTCTAATTATATAAATCCCCAAAGCTAAAAATCTTAACTTAGACACAAGGTCCAAAATGAAGTTAACTTTGGTTATTTAGGCACTCTAACTGAAGGAATTACTGATTCATTGTTTATACAACAATCAGAACAATGTTCCCAATGGTAAAAATCATCCAAAAAAAAAGGCTATAAGAAACATACGAATTCTGGCAGCAATAATTAATGATATCACTTCTGCCCTAGAAGGAAGACAGATCATTCTCAACACTTTGGCATGAGTAGTGATATACAATTGCATTGCTCTGGAATTCTTGTTGACTGATCTTGTGTATCTGTGCCATTGCTAATATTTTCCTTTGCAGTTATATCAATTAAACAGGTAAAGTAGAACCTTAATATATCACCTTAAGAAAAAAGCTATTTGGCTTTCTAAAATTAATCTTCACAGCCTATGGCATTTGTTCTCTTGATCTGTCTTTAGAAATTATAGTTCCTTGTTCTAAAGCATCTTATGAGGACAATTAATTGTTTTATTTTTATCACAGTGGGCATAATGCTGGTCTGTTGCATTCTATTCAGTGTTTTAAGTGCTTCTGCCTAGTGACTGTCTCATAAGATGAGTGCCATGAAGATACAAGAAAAGGTCAAGAAGACTTTGCAATATAGTTGACTATGGAGACAATAGGATTATCTGTGAGTGGTGAAGATCTGGATTTCTAATCTTCCCTCATTTGGTCAACCTGTTAGAAGTGAGAAAATGACCAAAAAGAGGAAAGGAGAGATTGAATATACGAACAGACAATGGCCAGTCCATATATGAAAATAGAACTCTGAACAAAAACTTCTGCAGCAACCATCCCAGGGAGCTGAACCACAGCTTCTCCAGCAAATAGTCCAGGGAATGAAACTACAACCTCTATAGCAATTGTTTCAGAACAGTAATCACTTCTTCAATCACTAAGACGTGATATCTTTCCTCACCCATCATAAGGGACACAGCTGACAGTCCTATAACAAAAGACAGCAAGAGGAAGCATAAAGGATTTATTTAATCAAAGTTTACATGACATGGAGGCCTTCAGAAATGAAGACTCAAAGACTCAGGGAAAACTGTCTATTTTTATGCTTAGCTTCAATAAGGAATTGGCAGCCATGTGGAAATATAATTGGACAAAAGGGTATGATCTAATAGTGAAAGACTAAAGGGGAAAACCTGGGAAGGCCTATTTGTTCAGATTCTTACTGCCTCTTTGTGTAGCATGTCTTCTTTCTGGATATGAGACTGGACCCATTTGGAATGAGGGTCTTCAAGGGAGAAGGGAGAAAGGAGGGAGGGACATTTATAGATTTTACGGGTTGCTTTAGGGGAGAGGGGTTCTAGTTTCTATGACCTGCCTTGGGGAAGAGGAATTCTGCTTTCTATGACTTGCTTCAGGAGAATGAGGAGTAGGAGAAAGAGGAGAGAAAAAGGTCAGAAAGACCTTGCCTCTTAAACCTTTCCAGTTTCCTTCAGTTGAAAGTATTCAGTGTGTCATGGGTCCATACTTTGGGATATTGTTTCTGAATCTTTTATCCCTGCTTTGAGCTCCAGAATAACCAGAGAAAGTCAAATGTGTTCCCAAATATTCTTTATCTGAAATGCTTAGGACCAGAAGCCTTTCGGGTTTTAGATTTTTTTGAATTTGGAATACCATCATGTACATAATAAACTCTCTTGGGGATGGGACCCAAGTCTAAACATAAAACTTATTTATGATTCATATACACCCTGTACACATACCCTGAAGGTAATTTAATGCATTATTTTAAATAATTTTATTCATGAAACAAAGTTTTGACTGCATTGAATTTTCTACTTGTGGCATGATGTCAGCACTCAAAAAATTTTGAGTTCTGGAGTGTTTCAAATATCAGATTTTCAGATTAGGTATGCTCCACCCGTTTATGGTATGTCCTGCTTTTATTTGGCCTGCCTCTAGCATCACCATACCAACAATCTCCACTAAGAGAGTTCCTGAAGTCTTCCTTTTTTTTTTTCACAATGAAGTTCCCTCACTCCCCTACCTGTGTTGCCATATGCCAAATGATGAATGCAAGTAATAAAGATTTATTCCTTTGCAACAGGCGGCACTGAATACCTACCTTTTGTTTGTTCTCATTTGGGTGATCTTCCAAATCATATTTTTTACATACAAGTTTTTATCTGATTTGAAATTTTCTTCTCAAAGTGCTTCCCACATTAGAAGGTAGTAAGATTCATGTGGAATGAATTAGAAGGCTACTCAGTTTTAACAGCTTTGTATTGACATCTCTTTCTTCCCTGTCAGGATTGGGAAATTCTCAAACCAGGTTTTTCAGCACCCTGAACACTCAATTGCTATAATGTATTTTTTTAGTTTCTCAAGATGGGATTTACTGGAACATTTTTCTTTACCTTAAATACATATAGGATACTGCTGTCACAGGACATTTTAAAACAACAAAAATGAGCTGTTTTGTAAGAGAATTTAGAAATATCAAAACATGTCTTAGGCATATCCAATGGAAAACTGGACTGTTTTGAGCACATCCTTCTGGGTGTTAATTTTCACCTTTCATTGGCTTTGGGCTATTTTACAACTTTGTAAATAGATTATTGTAGCAATGCAAAATAATTCTCATACATGGACATGCAAATGAATTCAGTCTTGTGAAGGTTCAATTGACTGCCGCCCATTGAAAAGGCATTGCTATTTTTAACTCTAACACGTATAAAATTGTGCTTCTTTGACTTCACCTTTAAACTAGTAGAAAGATGTGCCCTGTTTTTATCAGTAATATTGAGCTTAAAAAGTACTTACCAGGTGTTCAGCTTACATCTGTATTAAGTCATAATTTTAGCTTTTTTTAAAAAATTATCCTTTCATATTTTTAAGTCTGTAAAATCACTGACAAAATTAAAACCATTACCTGTTAACTACGTGAAATGACAGTATATTTTAAAAGCAATTATTTAGGTTTGTTATTCACTATTCTTTCAGATTCTAATGTTTAAAAATAAAAATTCTGAATATTTAGACATGAAGAGAAATTATTAGGTAATTGTATATAATACAATTCCACAGATTTTTAAAGTCTTGTCTAAAATAGACAGAACTGAAAAGAAAAACTCTCCAAAAAATTTCTACTTTTTCTTATTACCAAGTATGGCATTCATTTTAGTTCTTCAATGTCATCTGTACAAAAAAATGTTGAAGATAATATACATAGCTACTTATTAATTTTGATGTGAAAAACTGTCAGCAGCCTTGTCATATTCTAAGTTGCCTTTAAAATATCCCGTTCTCACTTTAAAAAAAATTTTTTTGGTTATGTAATCTGAAGCAACACACACAACTGCCTAAATCTCCATCATTGCTGCACTATTTCTTTCAGTTTGACAGAGTTTTTGGTTATATACCAATTAAAATAAAAATACCTCTGTAAAGAATCAAACATAATTAGGGTTGAAGCCCATGACAGAAGCTTATTAAGTGTTAGCAGATTCAGATACATCATATACCAGTTTGAAGTTTTCCCTGAATAGGGAGAAGTGGTCAAATTGGCAAAAAGGGGGCTGGAATGGGATGTTTGAGTTTTTTGACCTTTCTCATGTTTTTAGACTTTAGTGAAATTTTAAATGTTAACTTCTGGCCAGTAAATTCTTTGGAGTCTGGGACCACCCATGGAACACCATTCAGTGGGCATTTTCTCTTTCTCAGGCATATCTAGCCTTTTTGTGTTGTTTTATTTTGTTGTGCTGTTGTTGCCATTTTATTTTATTTCAGCCTGTCTCTCATCATCCTTCTCCAGATGTCTCGGTGTCTTTCTTAGTCATTTCGGGTCCTGGCATTCTTCAAATGTCCCATTAAAGTTGGCAAATAGAAAATGATGGTTTCATTATTCACAGACAAAACAAATCAGCAATTGAAATAGTGGCCACAGTAATAAATGGGTGCTTGATGCCTGAGAAATTTGAACAGAAACAGTTCATTTACATTTACGGTCTCCAAAGTTCTAATTTAGTGTAGCCAGGGCTAAGGAAATAGGAAAAGGAAGGAGAGAAATAGCTTGGTTGAGAATAATGAGAGAGTCTTCATTTGATGGGAAGTTAAGATGGGCCTGAATTAGCAATGGTAAGCACACTAGATAATTATGCATTAAAGGTAAATCAATAAAGTGGCAGAAAGCAAATAAAGTGGTAAGTGCTGGTGGGATAATAGTTATTTTTCTGGGCCATTTAAGTGCAATGCAGGCTGGGGGAAGAGATCTTTATAAATTGAGAAAACTTTTTTTTTTTTTAAACGAGGCTCCTTTTACATTTTTCTCTTCTCAAAACTGAATGATCATTTCCATTTTGTACCAGGAATTAGATGAGATCACTAAGAGCTGATTCACATACAGATCTAAGACCTTTACCTCCTTCAAGAACCTGAATACATCTCCTCTTCCACTCATGGAAACTTTCCTTCATTCTAAGCATTTACTTTGTGTAAGTTCTATATCTGCAAGGGGTCATAGGTGACTGGTAAGATAAATTAAAATTGTATTCTGTGCCTCTTCTCTTATTTAAGCTTTAAAATAATTCAAGGAGATATTGTTTTTATTCTTATCGTACAAACATGAAATTTGAGGCAAACAAAGGTTATATATCACACACAGTCTTAAAAGTTGTAAGTAATTAAGCAAGCATTTCATCTTGATATAACTGATTCTAGAGCTTGTGCTCTTAACCACTTGTTTATTCTCTCCTCCAAAAACACCTTTTAAAAGAGTAAAGGGCACATTGCTAGGATTTAGTCTGCACTGAGAGGTGACCATTAAGTTTAAGAGTGATTCTAGTTTGCTAACTGTACCTCAGCACTTTGGTCTCTCAATGCTGACAGGCAAAGTATGATTTTAACAGCACAGACTGTGGAGCTAGACTTCATATATGTAAAATCCAGCTCTACTGCATCCTAGCTTTGTAACTTGGGGAAATTTACTATGTCTCTTGATGCCTCAGTCTCCTCTGCTGTAAAATGGGAAAATATTGATAACCACCTGATATAGTTTGGATATTTGTCCCACCCAAATCTCATCCTGAAAAGTAATCCCCGATATTGGAGGTGGGGCCTTGTGTGAGGTGTCTGGATCATGGGGGCAGATCTCTCATGAATGGCTTAGCCCATCCTCTTGGTGATAAGTAAGCTCTCTCTGAGTTTTCCCGAGATCTGGTCATTTAAAAGTGTGTGGCACCTCCTTCAGATGCTCTCCCTCTTTCTTGCTCCTGCTCTGGCCATGTGATGTGCCTGCTCCCCCTTCACCTTATGCCATAGTTCCTGCGGCCTCCCCAGAACCTGAGCAGATGACAGTGATATGGACAGGAGGCAGCAAAATACTGGGGTGAAGACGATGGGATCCTTGGCAAGTTCTCCAACCTCAAGCCTGGACCTGCGACTCTAAATGAGAAAAATCCATTTCTGTTTTCCCGCCCAAATGTTACCTTTTCCAAAACCATCCTGGCCTGCCATGCCCCCCATCCAGTACCCATAAACAGCCCAACCTCCACTGGCAGAGGAGCTGAGTGGGGTGGCAAAGAAGGAGAGAAGAGAAGAAGTATCTGAACAATGAGAGGAGAAAAGGCAGCTGGACCTTAGAGACTATGGTCAGAGAGGAGTTCCACCAGGAAAAGCCAAATTCCAGGGGAAGATTATCTTCCCGCTCCATCTCCTTTCATATATATATACACATATATATATATACATATATATATACACATATATATATATACATATATATATATACACACATATATATACACATATATATATATACACACATATATATATACATATATATATACACATATATATATACACATATATATATATACACATATATATATACATATATATATACACATATATATATACATATATATATACACATATATATATACATATATATATACACATATATATATACATATATATATACATATATATATATACTTTTATTATACTTTAAGTTCTAGGGTACATGTGCACAACGTGTGGGTTTGTTACATGTGTATACATGTGCCACATTGGTCACAATAGCAAAGACTTGGAACCAACCCAAATATCCAACAATGATAGACTGGATTAAGAAAATGTGGCACATATACACCATGGAATACTATCCATCGCCTTTCTAGCTCCCCGTCTTGCTGAGAGCCACTTTCACTGGCAATAAAATTTTCTGCATACACCACCCTTCAATCCATTCATGTGACCTGATTCTTCCTGGATGCTGGAAAAGAATTGGGGATACACTGGGTGTGGGAATCCAAAAAGACTGTCACGCTGACTCTTCACTGAGCTGTTTAACACTTAAGCGATCTATGGACAGCAAAGCTAAAAGAGCACATCTGAGGCTCCAGAGGTCCTGAGCAACCCTTAAACACTGCTGCAGGCAGGTACAGCGTTCGTTCCTGCTGGTGCCCAAAGGCACTCGCCCCAGATCCTGCACCCACTCACCTGTGGCTCCCCTTCCAGCCAGGGGTGTGAGCTCAGCAGCCCAGTAAAGGAGCCACACCACTGTCACAAGTCCCATGAAAGGGTCAAGGGAATTCTCCCATCTCACCAGCATCATATTTCCTGTAAAGCTTCAAAACTGTGAGCCAACTAAACCTCTTTTCTTTGTAAATTACCTAGTCTCAGGTATTTCTTTATAGCAATGGAGGAATGGCCTAATACACTACCCGATAGAGTTGTAAGATTTAAATGTACTTATATATGAATATATGTAAATTTAATATTCATATGTAAAATATTATATATAATATATAAATAATTATATATGTTACAAATATTTATGTGTTTGCTACTACTTCTTTTTCAGAGATAGACAATTTTTCAATTGGATACTTTTATGATGTACCCCAATTAAATTACTATTTGATTTTACTTGCATGCATATAATCCTTATAACATCTGAGACTTTAAAGTTCCATGAGAAACAAGTTCAATCTCATATTTCTAGATTCTTCAAAAATTTGTACATGAAAAATGTTCTAGATATTAAAAAATCTTAATTGGTTAGATTTACTTTATATTTAAGAATACCAGTAATTATGGCCAAGTGCGGTGGCTCATGCCTGTCATCCCAGCATTTTGGAAGGCCGAGGCGGTTCACCTGAGGTAAGAGTTCGAGACTAGGCTGGCCAACATGGTGAAACCTTGTCTCTAATAAAAATACAAAAATTAGCTGGGTGTGGTTGCATGTGCCTGTAATCCCAGCTGCTCAGGAGGCTGAGGCAGGAGAATCACTTGAATCCAGGAGGTGGAGTTGCAGTGAGCTGAGATTATGCCACTGCACTCCAGCCTGGACAACAGAGCAAGACTCCATCTCAAAAAAAAAAAAAAAAGGAATACCAATAATTAAAATATTTGGTGTCTTATGTACCAAATTTAAATGAGAGAAAATAAGGCTGGAATGAGAAGATTAAGTTAGAGTAGTGGGCTGCCTAATATAAAAGACCTTGGCTTTGATCTTTGACTTTGGAACTTACTAGCCACATGAACTTGGACTATATGTTTTACCTTTTGGAATTTTAGTTTTCCTACTTGTGCTATGGTGATAATAGTGTGAAATTAATAGGGCTATAGTAAGAATTAATGAATTTATACGTTGGCAGTGTTCTCAATAAATGCCAGCTACTATTTTTTGCTGCTGCCTTGGCTGCTATTAAATTTTCAAAGATTAGACAATAGGGCAGGGTAAGCCCTTATGGCTTTCATCTTGAAACTAAAGTTACTAATATCCTTTGTGAATTTTATCTGAGCATATTTAGTTCCTTTGAGAAGCTAAATAACTAAGCGGTGATCACTCATGACAATAATACACATTTCAGCACCAGTTCTACTGTATTATCTTAGGAATCAAAGGTCCATTCACTTTCCTTGTCTCAGACCTTTATTTTGAATTAATCTGGTTTTTTTTTTTTTTTTTTTTTTTTTTTTTTTTGCTTTTGTTCACTCTAGCTCTCTCTCTTTCCTAGAAAACAAATTCTCTGAAACAGTATACAGTAAGATAGTATCTGAAGGGTAAGTAGAAGTTAACTAGTCAAACTAAGGATGAAAAAAACAGTCAACTCAGAGAAAGTGTGTGCCAAAAGCCTGTGGTTCAAGACAAAATTGTAAGTAGGAGTATCTAAAAATTTGGCGCTGTAAGACTGGTAAAACTACATCAAAATTTTGAATAAAAATAAATGCTGAATTGAAATTATTAAAATAATTTTGAATTGAATAATAATAAGTGATACAAAGATGCAAAGGGGATAACTGAATAAAAGAATCAAACAACCTAAATATATTTATTATCAATATAACTGGCAAAGAGTTAATGTTCTCACTACTGACACCACTTATTCAAGAACATGTTATATTTTTTAATTAATTTTATTTTTTCAGATTATTTTATGTCTTTCAATAAGGCCTTATATTCTTTTCACATGGGTTTTATCATTTTTTCAACATATTCTTTAGGAATTTTATAACTTGTGGAGCAATTTCTAAATTTTTTTTGCATTTTAATTTCTGGGTGACTAATTCATATTATAATGGCAATAAAGTATAATTTTTTACATTCATATTATGTCTAATTACCTTGAACTCTCAGAAATTCTAATGTACTTTAAATTATCAGTCTTTACAGGATATAATTATAAGTGCGAGCCAAAATATATAAGCATATTTGTACTATTAATTTTTTTTGTTATCTTATTGCACCTACACTATGAATACAAATAGGATTTTTAAATTGGATTATATTGCCCTAAAGTTTACATAAAAAATGTCAAATAATACCCATGACAGGTATATTAAAAATAAGAATTTCAAAAGAAGTTTTACTCAGCTGAATATTAGTAGAGCCATGTAATAAAATCAGTTTTACATTGGTAAAAAATATAAAAATAAATGATGGAAAATAATATGCAACATCCAGAATGCATATACCTGATAGCAAAAAAATGAGGTTATTCAAACCAAAACTCATTCATATTAAGTACAAAACCCATTCAAAATATTAAATATATATCATCAATGTTATCAAATAAAGACAATACAATGAAGAATAGAGGTCAAAATTCATAAGAAGGAGAAATACAGAAGGCAGTCTGGCACTTGGAATCAATTTCTCTCTAGAAGAAAGCTATTAATTTTTAAAATCGACATATGATAATTGTATGTGTTTACGGGGTACATAATGATATTTTGATACATATAATATATAGTAATCAGATCAGGGTAATTAGCATATCCATCATTTCAAACATTTATCATTTCTTAGTGGAGAACAGTTAATATCTTCCATCTAGCTATTTAATATTATATAAGATATTATTACCTATAGTTAAACTGCAGTGGTATAGATCACTAGAACTTATTTCTACCATCTAGCTATAATTTTGACTGCCTTAACAAATATATCCCTTTCTAGTATTTCCACCCTCTAGTATCTTTTGTTTTACTTTTTACTTCTATGAGATTAACTTTTTTTTTTTTTTACCTTGTATATATGAGTGAGAACTAACAGTGTTTAACTTTCTCTTCCTGCATTATTTCACCTAACATACTGTCCTCCAGTTCCATAAATGTAGTCATGAATGGCAAGATTTAATTATTTTCTATGACTTAATAGTATTCTATGGTGTATGTATACCACATTTTCTTTATTCATTTATCTCCTGTTGGATACCTAGGTTGATTTCATAGCTTGGCTATTGTGAATAGTGTTAAAATAATCATGGAGGTTCAGATATCTCTTTTATGTACTGATTTCTCTTTCTTTGGATAAATCCTCAGTAATGGGATTGCTAGATCATATGGTAGTTTCATTTATAGCTTTTGAGGACTTCCATACTTTTATTTACAGTGACTTTACTAGCTTACATTCCTACCAACAGTATATAAGCGTTTCCTTTATTTTCATCTTCGTCAGCATTTGTTATTTTTTTGACATTTTGATAATAGTCATCCTAACTGGGGTGAAGTGATACCTCATTGTGGTTTTGATTTGCATTTTCTGATGATTAGTGATGTTGACCATTTTGTTCATATGTTTTTGGTCCATTTGTATGTCTCTCTTTGACAAATGTATGTTCAAATCATTTTCTAATTTAATTTTAAAAAATTGTATAAATTTATGGCATAGAAGTGCAATATTATGCAGTGGTGGTATTATTTTGTTTTTACACTGCTATAAAGAACTTCCTGAGACTGGGTAATTTATAAAAGAAAGAGGTTTAATTGACTTACAGTTCTGCATGGCTAGGGAGGCCTCAGGAAACTTATAATAATGGCAGAAGGTGAAGCAGACATGTCTTACATGGCGGTAGGCAAGAGAGAGAGCATGAGAGAGTGCAGAAAAAACTGCCATTTATAAAACCATTAGATCTTGTGAGAATTCACTCATTATCATGAGAACAGCATGGAGGAAACTACCCACATAATCCAATCGCTTTCCTCCCTCAACATTTACAATTCAAGATAAGATTTGGGTGGGGACAGAGAGTCAAACCATATCAGTGCTCAAGTCAGGACTTCTAGAGTATCTATCACCCAGATAAGATACACCGTACCTACTAAGTACTTTATCAGCATTCACCCACTCATTCTGCTAAATCTTCATTGTGATCATTCCAATCTCTAAGTCCAAGTGTATACCATTTTTCTCACCCACTTATAAGCAAGATCATGTGATATTGACTTTCTGTGTCTTACTTGTTTCACTTAATGACCTCCAGTTCCATCTATGTTGTTGCAAATGACAAAATGTTATCATTTTTTATGGCTGGATAGTATTCCATTATTAATATATACCACCACATCTTCTTTTTCCAGTTACCCATTGGAATCAACTTAGGTTGATTTCATATTTTTGCTATTGTGAATAGTGCTGTGATTAACATATGAGTGCACATTTCTTTTATATACATTGAGTTATTTTTCTTACTCCCACTGGTGTGGTTGTTGAATCAAATGGTAGTTGTTTTTGTTTTTGTTTTAAGATAGAGTCTTGCTCTGTCCCTAGGCTGGAGTGCAGTGGCACAATTTTGGCTCACTGCAGCCTCCGTCTCCCAGGTTCTGGTGATTCTCCTGCCTCAGCCTCCCAAGTAGCTGGAACTACAGGCATGTGCCACCACATCTGGCTAATTTTTTTATTATTAGTAGAGACGTGGTTTCCCCATGTTGGCCAGGCTGGTCTCAAACTCCTGATCTCAAGAGATCTGCCCACCTTGGCCTATCAAAGTGCTGGGATCACAGGTGTGAGCTACCACGCATGGCCAAATCAAATGTTAGTTCTATTTTCAGTTTTTTGAAATATTTCCACACTGTTTTCTATATTGGCTGTACTAATTTACATTCATACAAACTTTTTCCATGCTATTAGTTTCAAAAAGTTTAATTTCCATTTTAATCCTCTGTTGACTCAATGATTGGTCTGGTGCATGTTGTTTAATTTCCATGTATTCATACATTTTCTGAATTTCTTGGTATTGATTTCTGGTTTTATTCCACTGTGGTCAGATAAGACGCTTGACACTCTTGAGCTTTTAAACATTTTTGGAAACTTGTTTTGTGTCCTAACATGTGGTCAATCTTAGAGAATGTTTCATGTGCTGATAAAAAAAAAAATGTATATTCTGTACTTGTTGGGCAGAAATTTCTGTAAATGCCTATTAGGTCCAATTGGTCTGAAGTTTAATTTCAGTCCAGTGTTTTTAGTTGCTTTTCTCTCTAGAAGATATGTTTACTGAGTGTGAGGTATTGCAGTACCTCACTGTTATTGTCTTGCTGGCTATCTCTTTCTTTCTCTTCAGGTCTAGCAATATTTTTTTTTTTTTTTTTTTTTTTTTTTTTTTTTTATGAATGCGAACCCAATTCCAGCATTGGGTGCATATGTATTTAGAATTGTTATATCCTCTTGCTGAAGTGATCCCTTTGTCATTCTAGAATGTCCCTATTTGTTTTTGTTTGTTTGTTTTACTATTTTTGGCCTAAATTCTATTTTATCTAAGTATAGCCAATCCTGCTCACTTTTGTTTTCTGTTTGCATGAAATATTTTTTCTACCCCCTTACTTCCAGTCTCTATGTGTCTTTTCAGGTAAGGAGTTTCTTGTAGGTAATATGTAGTTAAATCATGTTTTTTTTTTAAATCAATTCAACAAATTTATAGTTTTATGTGGAGCATTTAATCCATTTGTGTTCGATGTTAATATTGACATGTAAAGTTTGTTCCTGTCATATTATTAGTTATTTTCTAGTTTTAAAATTCTTTCTTTTTCTTCATTTGTCATTTTGGTTTGGTGAAATTCTGTAATGATGCCATTTGTTTCCTTCTCTTCCTTATATGAGCCATTTAAAATACAAAATAGGGTATTTTTACCCAGCCCTGTCCTACTTAGCAGGCATTTGGGCTCTGTTTTGTCACCCTAACTGTAAAAAGTTACTATATTCTTTAATGAACATCTTAACCTTCACCCAAACCCTCAAACATCTCAAAAAACAAAAAAAAAAAAAAACCCACAAGCAGTCCAAGGAATAAATGGACATATGCAGGAATGATGTCTGACTAGAAGCATTTCAAGCATGACACATCCACTTAGAAGAACCAAATAGTACGTAGACGACCTCACACTTTGAATACATTATCCAAGAGGGAACATAGAAGCTCAACAGAAAATAGACAAGAAACACCACATTCTAGAAAGGAGAAGGAAAACAGGGATCGTGTTTGGCCAGAACTGGCTGGAAACCAGGAGTGACTCCCAAACATGGCAGAGTGAGTGAGTTACTGGGGAATTATATAATTTAGGCCACATGAGGGCATCTTGATCCCCCCCAAATCCCTGAATCTAACTAAGAGAGTGGCGAGGAGGCTGTGAGAAGAAACTGCTCAGAGAAGGAACACATCCTGGGTCCCACACACTTTATGAGATCTAAGTGACTACAGTAAGATTCCATTCTTGATTCTAGTTCTCAACAAGTAAGCAAATGCTAAGGGAATTTATCACCACTAGAGCAGCCCTATAAGAAGTGATTAAGATAATCCTAAACTTGGAAGCAAAACGATGACATACTTTAGGCAGATTGAAAATAATTTCTAAGATAAGTTTGGATCTGCAATAAAAATGAGAAATGGGAAAAGCAAAATGCCTATTAATTGTATAAGTCAATAATAGTGAAATGTGGGTTTATACACATATGTGTTGTGTGTGTGTATGTATGTGTGGGTATAAACTCCATGACAATAAGTGAATATAATTTGGAAGGGTAGTAAATTAATCCAAAGTATTTTAATTTTTGTGTGTCTGTGTCTGCCTGGGAAGAAGTAAAAGTATGTACTGACTTTTGATGAGACCCAGATGAGTTTTATAATCTTGAGGCTAGTAAAAAGTTTGTTTTATAAGAACTAATGTGTTTTATGATCATTTGGATTTCTGTACGTTGCCCCATCCCCTAAATTTTTTTTCCCCTTTTATCGATATAGTAAGCTCCCACTTTTTCTTTACAGTGACACTCAAATCTTAATTATTTGGTTAAGATAACTCTGACATTCACAACTTGATCTGATACATTTCTTTGATAATCACTGAAATATATACATTCCATTTTCATTGTTATATTACAGATGTCTTTGAGACTAAAAGATTATGAATCAATTGACCAAGGCTACATGAATAATCAACTGCAGATGCTGGAGGAAAATTCTGAACTCTTTCTTGGTTCTCACTACCACACATTTCTCATGTTACATTTTAAATATTACATTTTATTATTTTTCTATAAAGACTCTAAACTTCTGTAATCATTTCTTTTGCTAAACTATTAATTCCCAGTGTCACATTCATTAGCTTTCCTTTATTTGTTTTCTAATCCCTTCTATTATTAATATAGACCCTTTTAAAGGCAAAAATCAAATGCCCCAATTAGAGCCAACCATTGTGATTGAAGTGTTTTAGTGTGTACGTATTTACCACCATTTTTTTTTGTTTCAGTTTATGTATGTGGGTGAAGAAAAAAGTTATATATGATAAATATAAAAGTTTCATGTTTTTAGTGATACTTTTAAAATATTATGTGGTGAAAATGAAATAATAAATGTTACCTATTTTTCTGTAGTGAAATATAAAAGTTTTTTGTTACCTACCCACATAATAAAAGATCATAGAAAATAATATTTCTAAAAATATTTAAGTTATAAATATATTACTTCAAGCTAACTTTTTTTCTGAAAGGAACAGAAGAAAATCCTAGATTTAGAAATCTATGAAAAGATATTATGGTCTAAATGAGTTTAGTTTTATAATATAGCTCATGAATTAAGAGAGTCATAGAACTAGCTAGTATGCAGATTTCATAGTTTACCTATCAGTTAAGATTTTTAAAAGAAAAATAGTTTTAAAAGAAAGGGTAATATTTTTTGAGTTAATCTAAAATAATTTTCTCCGAAGGACGAAATCATTGTGAAGATCTTCTTGAATGATTGAAGAGCCATTTTTGAACATTGGCTTAAGATTTAGACTACTGAAAAACAATTATCAAGCAGGGTGAAGTAGAGTAGTTCATGCACAGGAAAATTATTTTGAGGGAAAAGGCACCAGCAGTATTGATAAAATGAATGCTAACTGATATTCATTAGGAATTATTTAAGTTTACATCAGACTATTTATATTTGATCTAGATTCCTTACTCTCCTTCAGTGGGTCAGGTCTTCTACCATACTTTCATAACTTTGCTCTGATATTGATGCTAAACTAGAATATTTTGATTTCTTTAAATATTCTTTTTATTAGAATTATTGTTTCAAAAAATTTATTTTAGAGCCCAATAAGGCATTAATTACCATTTCAGTTTGTTTTCTGCTGATACAACAGAATAACTGAGACTGGGTAATTTATTAAAAATGAAGAAATTCATTTAGCTCATGGTTCTGGAGGCTGGGAAGTCCAAGAGCATGGCAACAGCATCTGGTGAGGGCCTTCATGCTGCATCATACCAAAGCAGAAGGTAGAAAAGCAAGAGAGCAACAGTGAGAGTGAGAGAAAGAAGGAAGAACTTACCTTTTACCAGAAACCCACTCCTGTGATAACTAACCCAATCTTTTAATAATGGTGTTAATCCATTCATGAGGGCAGAGCCCTAATGACCTAGTCACTTTTTAACAGTCTTATTTCTTAAAACTGTTCATTGGGCATTAAGTTTCCAATACACATTCAAACTTTAGAAGCTACTCCCCTTTTCTTCCACCTTTAATGAATAAATATGCTGCCAAATCTATTTTAGGTGGCTTTAAATTCCAGATAATCTCGTTGTACCCTCACGAGTGAACCAGGTTCTTCAATCAACTCATTAAACCCTTCAATATAGTAAGACTGGTATCAGTATTAATGATCCTATTTATCAATTCCCAAATCTAGGTAATTAAAATATTATTTTTTCTTGCTTGATCCTCTTATCTGGCAAATGTGAGCAGTGATGACAAAGAAGATTTGGAAAGATTTGTTAGGTTTAAACAATTATTACCACTACTGGAAACATTATTCAAAGACATACCAGACTAATACATTGCACTCTTAATTTCTACCAATAATAACATGAACATATTGTGGCCATCCCTCCTATGTTATCCTATTTATCATCAAATTTAATAATGTGAGAGTCACTGTATAATTTTTAACATTCGTCATATGTTGCATTAATACATACATTTTCTGTCAAATTTTTAAGAAGAAATTAATAATCTGTGTTCTCTTTACTTGCTAATTAAATTAAGCTGAAAATTTCTATTTGATTAGAAGGGCACTTCCTTCAACATTAACTAATTTATTAAATTTAAGTTTTTTTGACCCAGGAAAAAATGCTTTGATATGTGGTACGTCCAATATAATAAATAGTAAATATATTTCTAAAATATCATATGGATAAAGCATCTTAAATGATGCTAAGATTATTAATGAAATTAAAACTCTAATATTGTCTCATAATTTTAAAGGTGATACTGTGTTTAAACATTGCTTGTTTGTTTTTATGTGGGTCTCTGTGTTTGTATGCGTGCATTCCGTTCTTTTGAACAGTGCTAACTGTGGGTAAAATTGTGAATAAGGCACATTTAACTCTAGGACTTTCCTCAGACTTTACCAAAAACTTACTTTCTTTTTTGTTTTCTGGAAATATTCTGATAACCATCAGAGTGATAGTCATTTACAGGATTCTTTTCTCCAGGAAATTCTAACTTTCACTTTCATTCTTGTTCATTAAATGAAAATCATATCCTGGCAAAGAAATATTATTGCTTTTGTTGAGAAGTGTTTTAGAGATGAGAAGAAGCATAAAAGATGAAAGAGGAAAAAGAGTGAGATGAGGAGGATAGAGGAAAAAAAGGAAAGAACAAAAGAAAGGAGACTATCTCATGAAGCTTGGTAGGGAAGACCTGGAAGGAAAGAAACCAGAAGTATCAAAGCAGCACTTGGAATTTTGATCCAGGAAGCAAAATTATATTCAATGAGGTGACAATTTCCTGTAGAAGGATAAATATTGTCTTCTGTTCATAAAAAAAGAAAAAGTGGAAAAAATGAATATATTTGAAAGAGATTTCTTCAAAATGATTGTAGAAACTTGTGATTTGTTTACTTAATTAGTATATGCTATGGTCTGATTGTTTTTGTCCTCCCAAAATTAATATGCTTAAATTCTCACCCAGGAGGTAGTGGTATTAAGAAATGGGACTTTGGGGACTTTGGCAGAGCCCTCATGAATAGAATTGTTGTTCTTATAAAAGAGACCACAGATGACTAGTTAGCCCCTTCCACCACATGAAGAAATAGTGAGGAAGTACCATCTATGAACAAGTAATGAACCCTTAGTGGACATTGGATCTGTCAGCACCATGATCTTAGACTTTCCAGTTTTCAGAACAGTATGAAATAAACTTCTGTTGTTTATAAGCCAGCCTATGGTACCTTGTTATGGTAGCCCAAATGGACTATGACAGTATAAGACATGGAAATAATAGGAATTTTAAGCAATTATAAATCATGTATTTATTCTTTATATATTCTGAATCCATTCAATCAATATAAAATAAATGTGGCAGCTAAGTGCTATGTAATGCATTTTGCAGAAGATAAGGTGTCTAAATTTATATTTTCATGAAGAGACTTTGTTTTCTAAACTGTCTTTGGTTTACAAAAATAATTGAGCAGAAAGTACAAAGTTCCTATATGCCCCCTCATTTTATTTTTTTCTCATTCCCCCCATTATTAACATTTTGCATCAGTATGGTATATTTGTTATAATTAGTGAGCTAATATTAATATATTAATATTCACTAAGTCCTAGTTTACTTTTTATTATTAACTAGTCCACGTGTCAGAATTTATTCTTTATGTTGAATGTTCTATAGGTTTTAAATGTGTAATGATATATGTCAACCATTACAGTATTACACATAATAGGCATGCCCTAAAACTCTCTTACTCATCCCTTATTTATCCCTTATCCCTAAAACTCCTCTATTCATCCCTTATTTACTCTCTTATTCATTCCTTAAAACTCCCTTATTTATTTGCCCTAAAACTCCCCTTATCCTTTTCTCCCTCTCTTCTCTGCTCTCCTGATGACCACTGATCTTTTTACTGTCTCCATAGTTTTACCTTTTTGAGAATGTCATGTGGTTGAAATCATACAGAATATAGTCTTTTCAGATTGACATTTTTTACTTACCAATGTACATTTAACTTTCCTCTATATCTTTTGATGGTTTGCTGGCTCATTTGTTTTTAGCACTGAGGAATATTCCATTGTATAAATGTATCACATTTGTCCATCATCTACTGAAAGACATTCTATTAGTTTATTAAGGCTGCCATAACAAAATACTAGATTGGGTGGCTCAAACAGTAGAAATGTATTTTCCCACAGTTCTGGAGGTTTGGTTTCTTTCCTCTCTTCTTGGTTTGTAGGAGGGTGCATTCTTGCTGTGACCTCCATGGTGTGTGTGTGTGTGTGTGTGTGTGTGTGTGTGTGCACATCCCTAATGTCTCTTAGTGTGTCCAAATTTCTTCTTTTAAGGACATCAACTATAATAGATTAGGGCCTACCCTAAGGATCTCCTTTTAACTTAATCACCTCTCAAAAGGTCTATGTGCAAATACAGTCACATTCTAATGTTCTGGGCCTAAGGGCTTCAACATACAAATCTGGCGGGAACACAATTCAGTCCAGAATAGATACCTCACATGCTTCCAAGTTTTGACATTTATGAATAAAGATGCTATAAATATTCATTTGCAAGTTTCTGTGTGGACATAAGTTTTCAACTCATTTGGATAAATATCCAGGAGCACAATTGCTGGATCATATGGTAGGTGTATATTTAGTTTTGTGAAAAACTCCCAAACTCTCTTCCAAAGTGGCTGTGTCATTCCTACATTTCCACCAAGAATGAATGAGAGTTCTTGTTGTTTGGCAACCTTGCCAGAATTTTATGTCGTTATTTTTTAATATTTTTGCTATTCTTATAGATATGTAGGGATATCTTTTAGTATTATTTGAAATTATCAGATGGCGTGATGTTTAGCATATTTTTATATGCTTATATGCCGTCTGGGTGTCTTCTTTGGTGTGATATCTGCCCAGATCCTTCACCCATTTTTTAATTGACTTATATGCTTTTCTATTGTTGAGATATAAGAGTTGTTTGTATATTTTTGATACCAGTCCTTTATGTTTTGCAAATATTTTCTCCCAGTGTTTAGCTTGTCTTTTTTCTCTCAATATAATTTTTTTTCTGACATTTTAATTAGTGCTCATTTGTAGATGTGTATAGACTGGCATTTGGCACCCAAAGGCCCTTGGATTAATGCAATATAATAAAACAATATTTCTAGTAATTAAAAGAACCTCAAACCATTTAATGCAGACTATATATTTCATTGTCAAAAATAATCTTAATTCTAACCTAAACTTTTACCTAAAGATTTTATTCAGTTTCATATGTTCTGCAGCATATCAAGAGCCAAAGCTAAGTGAACAGAGACTCAACCGTTCTCATGGACAATACACAGGGAGATAAACTAGTTGTTATCTAGTTTTCTGTCTGCTGCAGAGTTTTCATACAAATGCATGTGCAGAGGACACAGATATCTATTAACAGCCTGTGCCTATAAATATGTGCTCATCTTTTAAGCAATAGCGTTTATCCCAAACTATCCTGTGAATACTGACATTTACATAAAACATATCTCAACACATTTATCTAATATTTACTTTGTTGAACACATTTTATTTTAAAATAATTCTAGATTCATAGAAACTTGCAAAGAAATTCAGAGAGCTTCCATATGACCTTCACTAAGTTCTCCTTATTAGTTACATCTTACATTAATTACAGCACAATATCAAAATCAGGACATTGTCTAGTTCTGCGTCATTTTATTGTATGTGTAGAATGATGTAACCATAATGACAATAAAAGTAAAGAACTAGTCTACCTCACAAAAATCTTCCTCATGCTGTCACTTTATAGTGACACTCACTCTCTTCTTTTTCATCATCCTCTATCCTGGCTATCACTAACCTGTTCCTAATTTTCATAATTTTGCTATTTTGAGAATGTGACATAAATAGAAGCATATAACATGAAAATTTTTGAGATTAGTACTATTTTTACTCAAAAGAATGTTCTTTATGTCCATACAAGTTGTTAAATTACCAACAGTTTTTTCCATTCCATTGCTGATTATTATTATATGATATGGATGTATCATAGTTGGTTTAAACATTCCCCTATTGAAGGATGCTTTGATTGTTTCTAGCTTTTGGTAAAATAATACACTGTTTAATTTCAATTCTTTTAAATTTGTTGAAATCTATTTTATGGTCTTTGATATAGTGTATATTGGTGAATGTTCTATGGCACTTGGAAAGAATATGTATAGCATTGTAGTTGGGTGGAGTATTTTATAAATGTAGAGTAGATCCCATGGTTGATTATAGGATTGAGTTCTGCATCCTTGCTAATTTTCTGTTTAGTTCCATCAATAGGTGAGAGAGATGTTTAAATTTTCAAAAATATGTATGAATTTTTGCATTTTTTTCAGTTCTAACAGTTATCCTTCATATAACTGACAGTTCTATTACTTGGTAGATATGTTTAGGACTACTGTATGTTCTTGTTAAATTGAAGCTTTAATCATTAGTAGAACATCTGTTTGCCTCTTGATATTCTTTGCTCTGATCACTGTATCATGTAATATTTTTTAAATTATATTCTTTCTTATTGAAAAAAATAATTATATGTATTCATGGGGTACATAG
The DNA here is from genome assembly GCF_000001405.40 of Homo sapiens. NCBI lineage: Eukaryota > Metazoa > Chordata > Mammalia > Primates > Hominidae > Homo > Homo sapiens. Next base: position 94,171 of record NT_187618.1, read on the forward strand.
TGATGTTTCAATATATATAAGTATAGTGACCAGATCACAGTAATTAGTAATCCATCATCCCATTTATTATTTCTTTGTGTGGGGAACATTCGGTAACTTCCTTCTAGCTATTCAAAATTTTATATTATATTATTGTTAACTACAGTTTAATACTACAATTGTATAAGACACTAAAACTTATTCCTCCCATCTAGTTGTAATTTTGTATCTTCTAACAAACCTTATTCCTTTCTTCCCCAATCCTTCCCAACCTCTAGTTTCTTCTGTTCTACTTTTTACTTCTATGAGATCAACCTGTTTTAGCTTCCACATATAAATGAGAACATGTGGCATTTAACTTATTTCCTAGCTTATTTCACTTCACATGATATCATCCAGTTCTATCCATGTTGTCATGAATGAAGAATTTCACTCTTTTTTAAGGCTGAATAATATTCTATCATATATATATGCTATGTTTTCTTTATTCACTCATCTGTTGTTGGACACCAAAGTTGATTCCATATCTTGGCTATTGGGTATAGTGCTGAAATAACCATGGAGGTGCAGGGGTCTTTTTGATATACTGATTTCCTTTCCTTTGAATAAGTGCCCAGTAGTGGGATTGCCAGATCCTATAGTAGTTCCACTTGTAATTTTTTGAGGAGACTCCATGCTGTTCTCCACAGTGGTTGTATTATACTAGTTTACATTTCCACCAACAGTATATAAAAGTTCTCTTTTCTCTATGTCCTCATCAGCATTTATTATTTACTGTGTTTTTGATAATAGCCACCTTAACTGTGGTAAGATAATACTTTGCTGTATTTTTGATTTGCATTTTCCTGATAATTAGTGATGGTGAGCATTTTTTCATGTATTTCTTGGTTATTTGTATGTCTTCTTTTGAGAAATGTCTGTTCAGATAATTTTCACATTTTTTAATGACTTCTTTTGCTGTTGAGACTTTTTAGTTCCTTGTGTATTCTAGATATAAGCCTCCTGTTGGATAAGTAGTTTGCACATTTTTTTTCAGTCTTTAGGTTTTTTTCACTCTGTTGATTGATTATTTTGCTGTGCTGTTTTTTAGTTTGATACAATGCCATTTGTTTTGTTTCTTTTGTTGCCTGTGCTTTTGAGGTCTTATTCATAAAATTCTTTCTCAAACCAATGTTCTGAAGCATTTCCTCTATGTTTTTTTCTAGTAGTTTTTCTCATTTTAGGTCTAATTTAGGTATTTGATGCACTTTTGAGGCAGGAAAACAGGATCTGCAGGCAGGGAACATAAGGCCAATTCACACTTCAGCTGTGACAGGAAATTTCCTCTCCATAGGGCATAGGCCAAGTAAATGACTTTGTAACTTTACTTCATCCTCTTCATTTACATAGGGTGTACCCCAAGTAGAGAATATTTAAACTCACAAAAATTCTGTAATGGGACTTTTGAGCCCCTAAGCTCGGGCCCACTCCCACTCTGCGGAATGTACTTTTATTTTCAATAAATCTTTTCATTCCTTCCTTGCTTTGTTTGTGCATTTTGTCCAATTATTTGTTCAAGATGTGAAGAACCTGGACACCCTCCACCATTAACATATTTTGACGAACCAGCCAGGAGGAAGAGGTAAGCCCAAAGTTTGAGATTCATTTTTCTCCCTTTCCTTTCTGCTCCATACAGGGACTCTCTCTCTCTTTTCTTTTCCAAGTTGGGACCCTTGGTGGGTAGCACCTAAACATGGAGACAACTGCAGGTTTCTGGCCATGGCCAATGAAACTTAGGGGTTTCCACTGAAATGCCTAACCTTGTTTTTACTCTAACTCGCTACTTGGAATTTTATCCTGCTTGTCTCTTTAATCACCTAGCCTTGCTTCCCGTGTAAATAAGACTCTCTCTAGCTGGGAAAGCCGGACAAACTCCAGTTGACCCCTTAATTTACAAGACACTAAGGGCTCCTTACCCAACCCCCTTCCGCGAGGAGTTGACCTGTGTAAGCAGATCCTCAGTATTTCAAAGGAGCCCAGTTAACTGATAAGGTACTAGCACCAACAATGTATGAAGTTCCCAGGATTTTTCTTAAAGAGATAACAACATAAAGCCTTGAGTTCGGGTCCCGCATACTCCCTATATCTAATTATAATGAAAGATTTAGAGCTTTGCGCCTGGTACCGTTGCTCTTTTTGTAACCATTTGTCTTTTAAATTGTTTATCTCTCTGTAACCATTTTGCTTCTTTTGATTCTTGCATGTTTTTACTTCTGTAGAATTATTGCATTTGAGTCCCCCTCCCCTTCCTAAACCTAGGTATAAAAGTTAATCAAGCCCCTTCCTCTGGGCCGAGAGATTTTTGAGCATTAGCTGTCTCTTTGGCCGCCTGCTTAATAAAGGACTCTTAATTCATCTCAAAGTGTGGTGTTCTCACTAACTTGCTTGGGTACAACACCACGTGGAGAAACCTGACCGCCACCACCTGGCTCACTGAAGGAAACTGGGTTTTTTTCATTTTTTTCGTTTCTTTCTTTTTCAGTCTTTCAGCAGCTGTTTATAGTTGCTCTGCCCCAAAGGGGCAAGGACTTCTTTTTGTTTAATCTTTTCTGCACATGGTCCCTGATCCTTACATGCGGAGCAGCTCAGGGCAAATCACACATGTTTCGGGGGACTTAAACCTTGTCTTCGTATGCTAACTTCTTCCCTTATCAGACTCAACAGGCTAGGGATGAAAAACACCCAGCTGGCATCTAGTTCTCATTACAGTTCATGGCTATTCTTATAAAGCTCATAGTATGCTCTGGAGGGGAACACCTGCGTGTGGTGCCCACCTAAGGACAGAGACGTCTGACACTCTAAGATTGGACCCCACAGGAGGACGCTCTGTGGATCCTGCAGACCTCAACCTGCCCAAGGGAGACGCTCTCGGTAGAGGTTCTGAGGTCTAGGAGTCAACCCTCCTTGGAATTTTCTCTCAGTTGCAATGATGTCTGGCCCCAACATTGCTTGGAATCTGGAGTTTACTGTTGAATGGGAAAGAGGAATGGCATTGCATGTATCCAGGCTTTTGTTCTGCGGTTTCTAAGCAGGGGGCCTGGTTAACATGTGACACCCTCCTTTGGTACTGTTTGGCCCCAGGGCTCTTTGGAGTCTGGGGAGGTCTGGCCTTTAAATATCAAACTTCCATGGAGACTGCTTTACTCAAAATTTTGGTTCACAACTTTCATTGGATTATCTACTGGGGCAAAGTAAAACCAGCAAGCTTGTATTTCTATCTTATGGCTAAGGTTCCAAACTATTGGATCTTCGTTTATGTGTGTATGCATGTTTAGATGTGTAGCCCTGATTAAAGTAAAATAAGAAGTATTGTAAAGAAATGCATCCGCAGTTTGGCGATTCTTTTAGATAGATAGATAGATAGATAGATAGATAGATAGATAGATAGATAGAGTTAAGCATAAAGCTGAAATTTAGCGTAAAGCCAAATTTCACATACATGCTTGCATTGCTTCACACTGTGTTTGCTGTTTTGCATGGATAGTGCTAGAGTACTTATTGGTCAACTACCTAAAGTGAAATTTCTTGATTGCACAGAATAAATAATAATATTGGTGAACTTAAAGATATTAAATTTGTGTATCAGGGATAAACTATTCATTATGTGGGGTTTTTTGGGGGGCGGGCGTGGGGGGTGGCCCTAGGTAACACTGTAACCTCCAGGGTAAATTAAGTTGGAAAATTTAGGGTTGGTTTCCTGTTTATTTTTGCTTCTAGTTTTCATTTGTTTGTTGTTTCTTCTCCTCTGGCTTCACTTGTGTATCCATATATACAAAACCATGATACTTTTTAGTTTCTAATGGAAGGCTTTTACTTGGTTCTGTGAATAGTTATTTTGTTTTGTATGCATTTCTAGCAAGTCATCATTTGTTCCATTTATCCAGAATTCCTAAGCTACATTTGTTGGGCCACAGGAATGGGAGCACACCAGCTTTTTATCCTCATAAACTAACTTTTTGCATTTTAGGCTTCCTAACACTTTAAGTGTGTTGAATATACTTTCATAAATAGAATTTGAGGCAGATTCCCACCTAATATCTCCAAAACTTGTAAACTATTTGTGAATATTCTTAAGTAATGGCCATGTGTTTGTTTGCTTCCAGTCAAGCAGGGTCTCTAAAGCCACTCAGGGAGAGGGAATCCAGAAACCTAGCATGCCAGCAACACGGTTAAAATTTCGTACCAATCAGTCTCTGTCCTCTTTCTCTCTGTTCAAATTGGTAAAATATAAAGTAAAAGTCACTGTATATATTCTGTAAAGTTTTTAATTAATTGATTTAATAATAATAAGAGCTTAAATCAAATATTTTGTCAGAAAAGTGAAAAACGTAATGCCTTTTATTTAGTTCATATGACTTCAATAATCTTTGAGAAATAAAGACAGTTTTAAAGATTACTGGTAAAATACAAATGTCTTAAAAATGTAAACATGTGGTCTAAATTATGTTCAAATACTAGGTTTGCTAAATGCTCTAAGGTCATAAACTGCTTCTTTGGCTTTTGAAAATTGTTTAACTTGCCTGCTTTCCAGCTAGTGAAGGCCTTGGGATATGTGGAGCTGGCCACGCCCTAGCTATGCTGAAAATAGTCAAACTTGTCAGAACAGACTTACCAGGTTTTAAACTATAGTTAAAATTCTAAGAGTCGCCATTGTAACATGCAGTTAAAACTACTAGGAACAGTTTTACATGCAAGGTGTGTAAAACAGTAGAATATGTTTTGTTTGTTTGTTTTTGTTAAAGGTTATAAAAGGCTTTTGTTTCTGAGCATCATTTTGGCAAAATAAATAATTTATAGTAATCTGGAATTCCAAAATCAAACTTCAGTTTCAAAATTGTCTTTCCTAAGGCATTGCTTTCTGGATGGGTCAGAGGGCCCCTGAAAACATCCAGAAAAGAGACAAACAGGATTATTTCACATGTATAGGTGCGTGGGATTGCCAAAATGATGTTCAATTTTCTTTGGGTTATATTTTTGTGAATAATATATGTTTTTAAATTGTATAGGATTCATAAAATAGTATATGCTATCAATTATAACTATGGTTATTATGTTATTATAAACCACAGAAACTAACCAAATTTCCTTTTATGAAGCTACTAACCCAAGTAAAACAAAAATTAATTAAATACCAAGAAAATATTTTGTCAGATTTTCATGTTAAACCAGCTGACACTGAACTTGTTTAAAATAGTTTATAACCAATGCTTGGTCCTATATTCCTGGGAAGACAAAGCTTCACATACATTTGGTCACCTGGTGGACCATTTAAACATTTTATAAAGGGATTTCATTCCATTGTTATTTTCAATTATATTTTCTGGTTGTATATAAGCTTTCCCATGCAAGATGTTAAAACAGCAGATTATTATACTACAGTGTATTTTCACTAGGTAAATAAAGCTTTTTATTGTTTCGATCTTCTGAGAACTTCAGAGAAAGACCGTCCTTGCCATCCACACTACAACAAGACTTCAAGACCTTGGGGCTTTGAGTTCATGGCCTCGCAACTAAGAAGGGTCCCTCCACACTTTTGCAATTGTGCAACCATTAGAACACTTGAGGTAAAGCTAACCATGAAAATTTCTCCCAAGAAGATGGCATCCTTGATGTGAACAGCTTTCCCATGTTCACAAATTAAGACTTCTGCTATCATGAAACTCTTATCTTTGATTTTTTTTTCTTGCTTAGGCCTCTACAAACAATAGAAGTGGAATAGAATAGAAGGGTCTGTTATGCACACTTATGGGGTACACTTTTATTTGTGAAGGAGTTTGCAGCCAGCTTTATACATGGATAACCTTATACTTTGATAGATAAAAGATGAAGGCCCAATGTAGGTAAGAAATTTAAATGGTACATATGTTGCCTCATAATCAGTCAAAAAATGAAACATTGTTTCATTCGTCTTAACCCACATCACGGGTTAAAAAGAACATTGCCAGGAGGCCTTCAGTCTTCTAGAAGGGCATCATTTGTTAGGTCCCTTTTCCATGGTTTAAAGTAAAAGAAGCAATGATTAGAAATGTATCCCTCATGATAGGCTCTATAGCAAATTCTATCTTAAAGCCTATCATTACATAACAGACTTTAAATTTTCTTGTGAAAGTTATGCTAAATAATAGAATTGGCTAAACAGAAAAGTACCTGTGCAGCTGCTGACACTTGTGGCCTATGGAGAAATAGATTAAATGCAGATTTTAAAAATTCAGTTTTAGGGGATTAATGAAAAGACCACTTAGTCAAGTGAGTAGACTCTTCATCTAGCTCATTCTTGAATCTATTTAATTTTAGGTGGCTTGGTTTATGGGGACCCTGAGTAAGGAGCATACTCTGAACTCTTGGTATTATCCTCCCAAAATTATAATAATAGTCTCCCTGGCATGCTGTATTCTCTCAAAGATTTTACATGCTTTCTTGTAGCCATCTCTAGAATGTCATATGGTCTCTCTTCAACTGGAATGATAAGAATTGAAAGAAATGTGCAACAAGGAGGACACCGTAACCCTATAAATAATGTGCTAAGACCAGAAATCCAAAATGATCATAACTAAGAGTGTCGCTAAGGCCCTAAGTTTTGGTTACACTCTCACCTAAGTGAGAACCTGACCAAAAAGGGGGAATTTTTTAAACAAGATTCTGGGAGGCCATTGTTTTGGACTAAGCTCATGCACTATGTCCCGACAAACAAAACCAAACCAAAATGCAGTCATTTCTGTTAAGGCTTTAAGGAAACACAGAGATTTGTAGAACAGAACAGGTTTTGTTTTTTTCTTCTGCAAATCACTGTAACAAACATTCCTAACCGTATAGGTATCCACCCACTAAAGTTCCCATTAAATCTTTTAACCAAATTCATTTCCTCTGGCCTAGAGACCATGAAGCTTCAGATGATCACGCAACAGAGGCTCCAGCCAGTTCCAGGTGATGACACCACCCATGGCCATCAAGAAGCTACCCTGCCTCCACTAGATAGAACAAGGAGAGTTCCATGATCCCCAGTAGGTAGGGACTATGCCCCAAGCCACCATGATGCAGTTATAGAAAAAAGACCGTTGATCCCTCTGCCTCCCATAAAGATTTATGGGGATCACATCTCTCAGGCGGAAGATAAGACAGGAAAATAGTGTCTGGAGGCAGGGAACATAAGGCCAATTCACACTTCAGCTATGACAGGAAATATCCTCTCCATAGGGCATAGGCCAAGTAAATAACTTTGTAACTTTACTTCATCTTCTTCATTTACATAGGGCGTATCCCAAGTAGAGGGTATTTAAACTCCCAAAAATTCGGTAACAGGGCCTTTGAGCCCCTATGCTTCGGCCTACTCTCACACTGTGGAGTGTACTTTCATTTTCAATAAATCTCTTCTTTCCATCCTTCCTTTGTGCGTTTTGTCCAATTTTTTGTTCACCACACCAAGAACCTGGACACCCTCCACCGCTGACAGTTTGACAACTCAAAGTTGTCAAACTTTTTTTGTATAGGGTGAGAGGCAGGAGTCTAGTTTTATTCTTCTGCATTTGAATATCTAGTTTTCCCAGAAGCATATTTTGAAGAGACTATCTTTTCCCCAGGGAGTGTTCTTGAGACCTTTCTAAAAAATCAGTGGGTTGCAGTTATGTGGATTAATTTCTGGGGCCTCTATTCTGTTCCATTGTTTTATGCATCTGTTTTTATGTCAGTGCCATGCTACTTGGTTACTACAGGTTCATAGTGTATTTTGAGGTCTGATAGTGTGATACCTCTAGCTTTGTTATTTTTGCTCAGGATTGCTTTAGATATTCGAGGTTTTTTGTGGTTCCATATAAATTTTAGATATTTTTGTTTTCTGTGAAAAATGCCATTGGTATTTTGAAAAGAATCATGCTGACTCTGTAGACTGCTTTGGTAGTATTTTCATTTTGACAATATGAATTATTCTAATTTATGAGCATGAGATATCTTTCCACTTCTTTGTTTCTTCTTCCCTTTTAAAAATCAATATATGTCATTGTCCTTATAAAGATCTTTTAACTCGTTGATTAAATGTATTCCTAGGTATTTTATTATATTTCATAGCTATTATAAATGGGATTTCCTTCTGGATTTTACTTTTAGCTAGCTCGTTGTTCATGCATGAAAACACCACTGATTTTTGTTTATTAATTTGTATCTTGTAACCTTACTGAATTTGTTTATCACTTCTAAGAGTTTTTTGGTAGAGTCTTTAACTTTTTCTCTATATAAGATTATGTTATCAGGCAACGGGAACAATTTGACTTCCTTCTTTCCACTTTGGATGCATTTTATTTTTCTCTTGACCAATTGCTGTGGCTAGGACTTCTAACACTATGTTGAATAAGAGTGATGAAAGTAGGCATCCTTGTGTTGTTTCAGTTCTTACAGGAAAAGCTTTCAGCTTTCCCCTATTCAGTAATGTGTTAGCTGTGGATGATCAGATATTAATGTAACTGTCTCTGCTTTCTATTAATGAATATTTGCATGGCATATATATATATATATATATATATATATATATATATACATATTTTCTCCTTTTACTGTCAATCTATGATAATATTTAAAGGGAGTTTCTTGTTGATGGCTTATAGTTAGGTCATTTTATAAAATCTCTGCCATTTCTGTCTGTTAATTGGTATATTTAGATAATTTACATTTCATTAATAAATATTGATATGTCAGGGCTTATCTGTCATTTTACTTTTTGCTTTCTGGTTGTTCCATGTTTTTTTTTTTTAAATCTTTTTGTTAACTCTTATTTTTTTCTGCGTTTCTTTGGGTTAAATTTCTTAAAATTCTACTTTTAGCTATCTATATAAAAGTAGAATTTCTTAAAATTCTACTTTTAGTTATCTATATAAAATTCTCTTTTTATATAGATTTTAAAGTTGTTGCTATAGATTTTACTTGGGACATACATAACTTATCACAGTCTACTAATGTTGACATTTTACCAGCTTGAGTGACATGTAGAACTATTACTTCTCTTTTTACCTTTCTCCATGCATAATTGTCAAAATATTCTATCTGCCTATTTGAAACAATGTTATTCTTTTGCCTTCAACCATTAAATATAGTTTAGTAATCTCAAGAGGAAATGAGTCTACTTTATTTACCTATGTTTTGCTCTTTCCATTGTTCTTTTTTTCTTTTAATATTCGGAGCTTCTTTTGTTATCCTTTTTTCCTTCTTTCTTGACATTTATTTTCTTTATTTCTTTGTTTTTATTGTCTTTTTCTCTCTCTCTCCTTTTTTGGTTCAAGCAATTTTCATAATTGCTTCCTTCATAGATTTTTTTAGAGTAGATCTAAATGCTACAAATTTCCTTATTTTCTTGATCTAAGAATACATTTGTTTGCCCCTTTATTCCCTTATTCTAGATAGTTTTGCCAGATAGTAATTACAGTTGACATTTCCTTTCTTTTTTTCAGCACATGGAAATTGTGCTACTTCCTTCTGGCATAAATGATTTTTGATGAGAAATCACCTGTGATTTGAAATGGTTTTCTTTTATAGGCAAGGTGTTGCTTATCTCCTGTGGCTTTTAAGATGTTTTCTTTGTTTTCATTTTCCAGAAGATTGATCATAATTTATTTTGGAGTACAATCTTTTTGAGTTTATTCTGTTTGGGGTTCATTCAGTTCTTGAATTTGTAGGCATGTATCTTTTAACAAATTTGGGAAAATTTCAGCCATTATTTCTTCAGATAGTTTTTTCAGCCCCACTGTTGTGACTTTTTTAGCTTCTCTTCTGAGTCTTTAATAACATGACCATTAATTTATTTGTTGTACTCTCAAAAGTCCCTGAGGTTCTACTCTTTTTTTTCTTCTTTTGGTCTATCTTTCACTAAGATTTCTATTGTTTTATCTTCAAATTCACTGATTATTTTTTCTGTCCCCTCCAGTCTGCTATGGAGCCAATTCACTGAGGTTTTTGTTTTCTTTTTTCTGATATTATATTTCCTAGCAGCCTAAGATGGCTGCTTCTAGAATAAAATAGCTGAGATTTTACAAATCAATCAAATTTCACAGATTTCTAATTAAGTAGTACAAAATACTAATTATTTTCCTGCAACTTAAAAGTCTGAAAATATTTGAAAGACAGACTTGAAGTTTGACCCTGAAAATTTCATTCTTCCTAGGTCTAAAATTACCTTTTGGTTCTACTTTATGTCTTCTATTATTTTGCCAGTACGTATTTTATTCATTTGTTTCAAGTATTTTCATAATTGCTCATTAAAGACATATATTGGCTGCTTTAAAATTCTTGTCAGATAATTCTAGCAACTAGGATGTTTGAAGCAAAAAGAAAACTCAGGAAACACCATCGTGTTTTTTTTTAGCCTCAAGGTTCTAGCCAGTCAGTCTTTTTATTGCTACCTTTCAGAGTCTTCTAAATTATTTATATTAACATATAAATATATCTACATATAATATTTATATTATATCTATATTTCCAAGACTGTTAGTTGTGTTTAGCATAATGAATACAAAGAAGGGTATTTACATCTGGAATGTTGAGGAAAAAGAAATAAAGTAAAAGAGAAGTAAAGGCAGTATTCTTCTTTCTCTTTTAAGTAAAAAAATGTGGGAAATCTGAGACTTTCTTTCCTAGCTGGGATAAAAAAATAGCGACTATTTTATTAATTTTTAAAAATGGGAATCTACCATCTCAATATATATAGGGCAAAAAAGAATGTGTGATTTATCAGCTATGTTCACATGTAATCAAAGGTCCATTAAGTTAGGGTTCGGAGTGCTAGTATGCTGAACAATACAAGAGATTTGAGTAATTCAATGGGATCAAAGTAAGATGGCTGCTTCTAGAATAAAATAGCTGAGATTTTACAAATCAATCAAATTTCACAGATTTCTAATTAAGCAGTATAAAATACTAATTATTTTCCTGCAACTTAAAAGCCTGAAAATATTTGAAAGACAGACTTGAAGTTTGATCCTGAAAATTTCCTTCTTACATTATTTATGTACACAGATTTGGGAACAGACGAGAAAAATAGCCAAGTTCTGAAAACTGTAATAGAGACATAAAGTAGAATTTAGAAGACTTCATATTCCATGAGCCATCAGCCTTTAGTGGGTTCCTCCTCCCTTTGTCTATGAAGTTATTTTTCACTAACTGGTAAAGGTGCAGAAATTATTATTCTGAGCCTTTATACCTTAACAAAATAGGCTAGTTTTCTGCATGCTTTGCTGTCAGTCCTCATCCAAATATAAAACTAGAATCAGATTCCAGCATTTCCAGCTGATAGGGGATGACCCATACAAAGTCAAACCTAGGAAGAGAAGCTTTACAAAGCCAGAAGAGCAGGACTTTGCTATTTTAAGTCTGGGAAATAATGTAGGAAATGATTTTGAGACATTGAGTACAAGAAGAAGTTTAATGTCTTCACACTGCTGAATATACCAGAGATTCTGAAGTCCTTGGGCTGACAAATGAATAAAGTGATTTTTATGATTCCTTGATTAGCAAACAGAAATATAGATTCAACACAAAATCATCGAGTACATTTATCATTTATACTCCATCATACTATCTCATACAATGTATACCATTATAGGGATACTCTTGTCAATATATTCTTACATGGAAAATAAATTCTCAACATGTTTGAAAAGCATCTCAATGTTTGTTACCAGAATTATGTGGATTCTCTGTTACATTGTATGTAAACTCTAACATGTCTAAAGGGATCTCTCAATGACAGAGACTAAGTGGGAGCATATAAGAAGCAAAGTCATTATGGTTAGTATCATTGAAGGAGTGTGAGAGTAATGATAAGAATTATCTATTCTGTAGATATTTTTGAAGGCTATTATTTGATTGTGTGGGGTTACTAGGAACACAATAGGAGGGCAGTCCACCAGGTCCTTTTTAAAATGTTTATGCCGCAAAATGGAGAGTCACAGCATCGAACTTGTTTCATAAACCTGACTCTGTACACAAACTTAAAGTTCCTTAAAAGAAGAGGAGTCCATATACTCTTGTAAAAAGACAATCTAAGACCAACAGAGATTACACTCTAAGACTTCTTCCTCCATTTCCCACAATCCCTAGACTAATGGAATACAAGAAAATGTTAAATCACCAAAAATATCAAGATTTTTAGAACTCTGGCTCTAAGAACACTTGTTCCTATCTGAAATAATTAATAGAATAACTAAACTGATTCTCTTACTTCATGGAGGAAGAACTTATAGAACTGGTGAAATGTGAACCATAGGAGATTTACTGCTCCCAAAATAGTAAATCTCAAAGTATATCATAAGCCTGTGGGAGTTTCAGTGGTGAGTGCAACTGTTAAGACTTGTAAGATGTAGGGTAGATAATTACTGTACATCCTCATTACATCTCCATGTGTCCAAATACAAAAAAAAAAAAATACCTGTGACATTGAAGAATAACAATGAATTACATGATAAACACCAGTTGCACAAATGAATTTCTCACTAGAGCAAATTTGCATTGCCCCGGCACCTAGTGACAAATGTTTTGTCATTAGTCTGATAAACAGAAAACAGAGGGAACAGTTAACTTGCACAACACAAGTGTAAAATTTCACTCTTACCAACATGCTCCAGTGTTCCTCATACTACTACATAAAGAGATGAAAAACAAGGGCCATTGTGTCAATTGGGGTGATTGATTTTGACTGTTAGGAAAATATAGGTTCTTCAACCCAATTTCGCCAGGGAGAAGTTACAAATAGAACTCAGGGGAGCTATTGGAGCAATCTCTAATAGTACATGGGCTAATAATAAAAGTTAATTAAAGAATAATAGGCAAAGTAATCCATACTGTTATTAATCAGGATAGTGGAATAGTGGACATCTTTGAAAGGAGTCGTGACTTGAAGAAAATTCAAGGAAGACTTCTAGAGAGCTAGTAAGTGTTTATTTTAGGTTCAGGGGATACATGTGCAGGTTTGTTACGTGGCAAATTTGCATGTCATGGGTGTTGTTTGGTTGTATTATTGTATTATTTCATTTTCATGCTGCTGATAAAGATATGCCCAAGACTGAGCAATTTACAAAAGAAAGAGATTTAATGGACTTAGACTTCCACATGGCTGGGGAAGCCTGGCAATCATGGAAGAAGGCAAGGAGCAACAAGTCTCATCTTACATGGATGACAGCAGGCTAATAGAGCTTGTGCAGGGAAATTCCCCTCATAAAACCATCATACCTTGTGAGACTTATTCACTGTCATAAGAATAGCACAGGAAAGACCTGCCCCCATGATTTAATTTCCTCCAGCTGGGTCCCTCTCACTACACGTGGGAATTCAAGATGAGATTTGGGTGGAGACACAGCCAAACCATATCATTAGTACACAGATTATTTCATCACCCAGGTAATTAGCCTAGTATCCAATAGGTACTTTTTTTGATCCTATTTGTTCTCTGCTTCTGATAAGCTGAGTTGCAAGCTAAAGGCAAAGAGTCATTGGATGAGAATGGAGGGCAAGATTCTTAAATACCAGCAATTCTGTTCAGATTCGTTTTAGAAACAAAGCAGTGTCCATTGTAATTTTCCTGTTTCGTGATCTCATGGTTATTTATTCATATCTTTATTAATTTGTTTTGCATTCCTACTATTCTTACTATATTTTTGTAAAGTGTGGCCTTGTTGGTTAAATTGATCTTTTAGTTAATATTTTGCAGAAAAGCAAGACGGTTATGATAGATGAGTATGCCCTACCCCAAAATACTGGACATACAAGTTGAGTAGAACAACAGACATGAATTTGAATTATTTCCTTTGAGAACATGCTGAGTGTGTTTTTTTGATTATAAGAGGGATGGTAACCATATCCAAGGAGGGATTAGTTTTATATAAGTAGGAAAGACAAGTATCTGTAGATGATAAGCAGGTAAAGGAATTTATTAAGTATTTGTGGCTGGGCATGGTGGCTCACACCTGTAATCCCAACACTTGGGGAGGCCGAGGCGGGTGGACCACCTGAGGTCAGGAGTTTGAGACCAGCCTGGCCAACATGGCAAAACCCCATCTCTACTAAAAATACAAAAAATTAGCCAGGTTTGGTTGTGGGCATCTGCAATCCCAGCTACTCTGGAGGCTGAGGCAGGAGAATCGCTTGAATTTGGGAAGCAGAGGTTGCAGTGAGCCAAGATCGTACCATTGCACTCCAGCCTGTGCAACAAGAGCAAAGCTCCATCTCAAAAAAAAAAAAATAATAGTTATTTGCCATTTTTACAGACTAACTTAATGGTCCTTCCTATTTAAGAATAATCCTCAATAATGTTTGGTATTGGTGGGAAAAAGACTAATGGTCCTCCCTATTTAAGAATAATCCTCAATAATGTTTGGTATTCATGGGAAAAAGAGTCCAACCACTTTTTAGTAAAGCTATAGAAAAGTGGTCATCTCTCTTTAATGCTTTGCAGAAATAGGAGAAAACATGATTAGGTCATGGGCAACTTAATGTTTTTATACAAGACTCTATACCTGGGATTTGTAACTGAAGCCTAAAGACAGGTTAGAATTAAAACTGGATAAATGCCAAGATAGAGGAGTGTCTAGTGCATTGGCAGCAGTGGTAATATGGCATGATAGTTCCCAGTGGTTTTTCTGCTTTCTGCTTTTTTCCTTCTGAAATTTGTTTTGGATATTGTTTTCAAAGTTTGCTATTGCAAGTGCTAGTTGTGTCTCTAGTTATGTCTATGAGTGTCTTACATCTTTCAAATGTATTTTTTATTGCCTAAAATAACTAGAATCAGTTTCTGAGGCTTACAACAAAAACCTTGACCATACCCACACATTATCTAAATGGATTATTATAATGAACTTGGGAGGCTGATATTGTTATTCACAATTTACAGAACAAAAACAGACTCTTTAGAGGAGTTTAAATAACTTACCCAAGGTTATAATCTTTTTAAGTATCAGACAAGGAATTTTAATATTGTCTTTCTAATTCCAATTTCCCATTTTAACCATTATGTGACACCACTCATAGGAGAAAAAAGCCTGCCTACTTCTTTGTCCAGGAAACTCAGGAACCAGGGAGGATGTCAAGTGACTATGCTTCTTAAAATTCTGAAATGTAACATATATTACAATGCCATATCATCAATGCTTTCTGCATTGAGCTATGAACTCAAATACTGAATGAGCATTTTCAAACAATTTGTTTCTGCCTCCTAATGCCACCTTTCCTTCCTCATTCTGAATTAATTTTACAAATACTAGATATGGGCATAAAGTATTTTAAGACTCTCAGAAATAAACTGCACACATGATCAAATCAAGCCAGAATTGCCAGTTTTTAGGTTATTGCTTCCATCTTAATGTCCTTTGAAATAACGATTCTGACTTTAATGCATGTGCTAAGATACTTCTTTATCGTTTAATAATACCATTTAACTATTATATGCCAAATTCTATGCTAAGTCCTAAAAGTATAAAGACAAATACCACATTGTGCCTCTCTTTAAGAGCATAAAGAATTTTAAGAAGGAGAGATCTATAAACATATAACTCTTTGTAATATTCTAAAGTCTGGAATCTACAAAGTGTGCAATTAAAATAAAGAGAAATAACACTTATAACAGCAATGGGAAAGAATGGGATTCAGGGAAGATTTTCTAGAAGAGTTGCCATTGGAGGTAGATATTAAAGGATGAAGAAATAATTTTCCAGGCAAAGAAGATAAGACTGTAGGGAGGGTGTACTCTAAGATAGTACAGGTTCCAAAAAATACAGAAGCGTGAATCACACTGGGCTTCTATAACTGGTCTGGCATTATAATGTAGAGTATGAGACAGGAATGGTAAGCAATGATTCTGGAGAGTCAGAAAGGGCCAACTGAAGGAAGATTTGTAAACCATGCTATAAATTGTACTGAAACCGGGAAAGGGTTATCACGCAGAAATTCAAGGAAAACAATACGTTATAAAATTAGTAGAATTTGCTAATGGGTTAACTACTGTGGTGAGGCAGGGGAAGAGGTCTAAGTTGAATTTTGGTTTCCTTTCTTAATCAATTAGGGAATAAAGAAAGAGATGAGTTAGTGCCGTTGAGGCCAGGTAATACTGTGTTTAGTTTTTAACATGCTGGAGATGTTAATAAAGCATTTATGTCTATAAATATCTGAAGCTCAAGAGAGGAAATATCTGAAGATATCTGAAGCTAGGCTAGAGATTGCTAGAAACATAGATGTTGGTGTACATCCAGGTCAAGTGAGTCAGGGAGAAGAAGCTCATATAAAAACTTCACAAAGAAAGGAGGCTACTCATTCCCAGGAAAATATTCCTTTTTCTTTGAGTTACATACCTTGTTCTCATCTTCCCCCAAGTTTTATTATTCTTGTATTTCTCTCTGAAGCTTTCACTAAAGTATTACAATAAGCTAAAAATAACTATACTCCATAGACTCATGCTTGGACAAAGTGAAACTTGGAGAGTATAATTAGAATTTTTCAGCCCTAATGAGCTATATCAGTTAATCTGGAACTAATAGACACAAGAAGTGAGAAATATTTGAACCAATGGCATGCTAGAGCCAGCTGGCATCGCCTTTTCTTTTTAACAACTCTTATTTCGGTGACATTATATTAGTAGCTTGAAATTAACCATGACGGGAGTATTTATACTACAAAAATTGGCTACTTTGGTTTGAATGTTTTGCCCCTTCCAAAACTCATGAGTTGAAAGCTTAATTACCAATGCAACAGTATTGGGAAGCAGCACTGAATAGAAGGTGTTTCTGTCATGAAGACTCTGGCCTCATTAATGGAATAATACTACAATGAAAGCGCTTTCAGCCTTCAGGAGTGGTTTCCTTCCCTTCAACTTTTTTGGCATGTGAGGAATTGTGTCTCTACCCTCTGGAGAATGCAGCCATCAATATGCCATCTTGGAAGTAGAGACTGGTCCCTCACCAGACACTGAACCTACTGGCATTTTGATCTTAGACTTTCCAACCTCTAAAATTTGTAAGAAATAAATTTCGTTTTTTTATAGATTACACAGTCTCAGGTACTTTTTTACAGCAAAACAAAACAGACTAAGAAATTGGCAAACCCTATAAATAAATATTGATCATTTTTTCCTAAGGAGTTGATTGATAAATATTTGCCAGCACACTACTGTCTCATCCATATAAATAGATACTCCTTTCTTAATGAATATCTTCAAAAGCAGTCATGGAAACAGCAAGAGAAACACTCGAAACAACTCTAGAAGGTCCACAGGAACCATATTAGAAAATATAAAGAAGAACTATAGCAAGAATGAGAAGTGGGTTTCAGATTGGGTGAGGTTACAGATTCACCGTCTAAACAGATAAATCTAACATCTTTATATCTGAGTGCTATTACCTGTCAAGAGGAAATAATGACTTAACACAAAAGAATACATATTAAAAGTTAAGTGATTATTTTAAGAAGTTTGACATGCTATGCACGTGAGCTATTATTAGTAACTCAAGGATTTCAACATCAAAAAAGTATATTCAGACTTCGAAGGCATCACTAAATTTTGCCTTTAGTACCATCATACTTCACTT